>NC_000006.12:47938787-48241818 GCF_000001405.40 Homo sapiens
AGGAAAATGAGAGAGGGTCAAAGTGTTCAGAATCTTTCCAAGGGAGTGATTATAATAATTAACAATGAAGTTTAAGCTACATAAGGATAAAAGAGGGGCCAGGAAGAGGGTGAGGGGCAATGAAAGCTGATAGAATCAATGTACTGGAGGTCACAGTCGAGTGGAAAGGGAGTTCAGGGTACAAGAAGGAGTGAGTTGGAAAGATGCAGGTAGTGTTCAGAGAGGGAATGCATGACACAAAGTTACAGGGGGAAAATGGGGAAGGCATAGGTTATGGCTGTAGGAGCAAGTGGCTGAGCCTGAGTTGAGGACAAGTTCTTTGGAGAAGAGGTAGCTGAGCCTGAGTTGAGGACAAGTTCTTTGGAGAAAAGGAGGTCCAAGAACTAAGACACCAAGGAAGTGGACTATCCATAACAGTGGTTCCTAACTTTAACTGAATCAAAGTCCCATTAAGAGTTATTAAAACTCAGATTACTAAACCCTACTACCAGAAATTTTAATTCAGTTGGTCTGGAGAGGGGCCTGAGGATTACGTGGTATTGATGTCTCTGGTTGGAGACTATATTTGGAAAACATGGCCTACAGGTACATTAAAGTCAGTAGTAATTAAGAGAGGAATAATACGGGAGAGAGGGACACTGAGGCTGGAGCTAAAATTGCCAAAAACAAGGGGAGGAGGAGTGACCCAGAAGCGAGTAGTGGACTGTTTCAATGAGGTGTTGTGGAAATCATAATGTGATTATAATGCAATGAAAACATTTGTCTTACACTTCTGCTCTGTGTCAGTGATTCAAGCTTCTGAAATCAGGCTGGTTTCTGTATCTATCCTTTGTGTGCAACGTGACCTTGCACCAGTTGGTTACCTTTGTGTATCTGTTTCCTCATCTCTAAAGTAGGGCTTTTATTAGCCCAAATCCTGAGGTTGTTGGGAGGATGTATGAGTTAAAAATGTTAAAGTGCTTATTACAGTTTTGACACGTGATGCTCACTAATCTCACCGCAGTTTTACCTGTTATTTATTAAACAAAGAACAAAATTCTTAAAGAAAGAGCACATTCTTTGTTTAAATGAGCTCTCCTGAAGCCCCCTATGTTGCCCTGAAACTGGTCTTTTACCTCTGGTTTGATGCTGAACTCCATACTTTCCATAATATTACTTGAAATTTTAAGATCTGACTCCCCATAACAAAGGGAACTTTTGGTGATTTAGACATACATCGCTTTGAACTAGCAATGTTGTAAAAGACATTGACATAACATGAAAGTACTATTATTGTGCAGATGTAAACTATAATTATGATCATAATTGTTTTCTGCAAAGGTCCCTTATCCAGTGGTAGAAATGGATTTAACCACAGCCTTTTTGTGACCTTTTCATCTTGGATGTCATACATGACCACAAAGACAATAAAAAATGAAACTACATCTTCAATGCCATTATAATTTCACTGGGTAATGTAACCACTGTAACTAGCCTGTACATTGAGTTTAAATTATCTAGATTATGTTTCCTGCATTATGCCCCATGCAGTATAATTAAGAAGAGGTATTAGGGGCTGCTTACCAAAGCTTGGTTTCCATGTCACCCATATATTTCACCTCCCCACAGTGGATGACTTTCCTAAAAAAATTATTTAAAAAAAGAGAGAGAGAGGGAAGCAATTTAACCAATGATTTTGTTTTTCATCTCCAAAGGGAGTTCCCCAGAGTCATTCAGCTGAATATTTTTTAAACTTTATACCATAAAGCATTAGCCTTTCTAGGTCATTGTACTGCATCTGAGCCTAAAATTAAAACCATAAATAGTTAAAGCCTTAACTTTCACAGCCTTGTAAAAGCTTGTGAAAATAGACATTTCCCTTCACCACTTACTGTGCTTATTTATGTAAGAAACAGCACTTTGAAAAATATGACTTAATAGGAAAGTCACCCAGAGTATAAGATATGGGAAAAACCAATTTAGATGTTTCCATTTTTCTTTTCCTTCTAATTACTCACTCCTTCTTAATATCAGGAATCATACTATTCTTGATCCCATTTAAAGAGGGAGCAATAGGCCATCTCGAGCTAACAGTCAAATCAATATTAAAATGTGAAAGGGGGTGGTAAGCCTAATATCTCCCATAGCACCCATTCCAATGCTGATCCACAGCAGATAACTAATAAATCTTGACTTCCTGACACAGAGTCTCACTTCCAGACCTTTTATTACTTGGCCTGCCTACACAGCCACCATATCAATTGTTCTGAAACAAACCTTCCTTAGCTTCCAGCATGCCTGACTGTTGGCAACTCAGCCCGCCTCCGTACTCACTCTCCCTCGTAACACAGGGGCTGTACACATGGGAACTACATTTTCCAGAATCCTTGCTAGCTGGGTTTCTGATTAAAGTCCACCAATGAGAGACACTTTTGAAACTTTTGGGACATTGAAGAAAAGCAGAAGACATACTTGTGTTCTTCCAGAAAAAGCAAAAGACATGTACCACAGCAGAAGTGAATCTTGGAGTGTGGAGGAAGCTATGGAAGCTGCTGGCATGCCCTGCAGGTCGGCAACTCCTGACTTTCTGAAAGCCTGGGGAGACCTTCTCAGTCCTTTATCCTCTATCCCTTCTAATGGTTTTGAAGCTCCCAGTTGCCTATATTATATCTATCTAGAGTGAAATACCATTCTCCCTGACAGAACTTGACATAGTTAAATTATGTGGGAGAATATGAGTTGGGAGACAGAAGTTACCCACATGAATCCACGTGGTATAGACCAGACTATTAGGAGGCAGAGCCATAAAGTAGCAAAATTGATGCCATCTAGAAAGATGCAAAATACTCTGGAGTTGAACTGAGTAGGGGTTAAGTCAAACTCAATACTAATTCGCTGTTTGACTTTGAGGAAGTTACTTGATTTCAGTTTGCTCATTTGTAAAATGAAGTTAATGATAGTACCTACCTTACAGGGTGGTTATGTGGTTTAGTGAACTAATGTTTGTAAAATGCATAGAATAGAGGCTGATATATGTTTACTACTAAGATTTTTTTCTAAAGAAAATTTAAAAATTAATTAAAAGAAATACACATTTTGATATTTCCTTAAAAGTGGTCTCTTTTTAAGAAAATCAGTGTCAAACTAGGTACTGATTCCAATGCTTCAAGCATTACTAGAATGTGGACATTTCTGAAGTTGTGTTGAATGTGAATCTAGCAGTCACATTGGAAAATCAGCAATTGCACAATTTGGAATATTCTTTTTCCCAGTGCAGGAAGCTCCCAAGCCTCAGTATTTCTGTCTATATTATGCAATTTGGCCATTCACCTTGTTCATGTGCTTTAACTCTGAATGATTTAGGGCTGCTTATACAAAATCAAACACACTCTCAAAGGATGAAACACTGCTACTTTCAAAGATGTTCAAAATAGCATTGCAGAGAATCCAAAGGGATCCCAACTGGGGAGTTGCAAATACATCCTAGACAATGACACCATCACTGGCATAAGCTTATGGTCTCAGAATAACTATTTTGAAAAGGATAGAACTCTTTAGTTGATGCATTTAAAGAAAAATAATTTTCCTTGCTTATAAAAACCCATGAGTATGTAAGGGTTGTCCTTCATAAATTCTCAGGGATTGCGGAATAAAGAATAGCAAAACACAATTAAAAAAATAATAACACAAAACAGCTTCAAGGACAGAAAGTGTAAGCTGCAGGATCTTTCTCTGTTGCTGTTGTTCTTGTCACAGCTGGTGAAGGTTGCCAAGGTCGCCCTGTTAGGCACAGACAGCTGAAAGTTCAAGTTTGGGAAAATTTGGTTTAAAAAAGCAGGTCTTTTCAGTGACAGAGCAAGACCCTGTCTCAAAAAGCAAACAACAACAACAACAAATAACCAGATCTCCTCATACTGTAGCAACCTCATGTTTGACATTCTATGCTTTTCCTAGCAGACATTGCTCAGTTTTGCAAAATGAGGTACACTTTTTGTTCTTGGCAGATGCCACCAAGGGGAGAGAGAGGAAAAAATAATCTCTGTCTTGTTAGTTCTCTCAGGTGCAAAACGATTCCCTCTGGTTTCTAAGTGTTTCACTCATCAGTTGAGAAATTCAGCAAGAATATGTCAGGTAACCTAAAAAATATTTTTCCAGGTGTTTATATCAGAAAATATTCTGTGGCAATTCTGTGGTCTGCAACAGCAGTTTGGAACTTTCTTGTGGCATAACCCCTCCGTATGCAGTTTCATGAGAAACTTGTTCTAGTTAATTAGTCTATTTCATTCCAGCTGAATGCACGTATCAGTAATTTATCAAGATGGTTCTTTAGAGCATGCCCAATTTCCTAATCCCATTCATTTTGGGAAAAATCTCAGATTAAGCACTGAGAAAATTTATTTTTTGTATTTGAAATTCTTATAAATGTAAATTTGAGAGTCATATATTTGAACATGTACAATGTCGTGCATGGTTTATGTAAAATTTGTAAAGAAAGAAAGGGGCTTTAGGTTTTTAAAATGCTTTGATGATTGTGCACAAAACTTAAGATTATTTTATATTTATGATTTTCTTGTGTTTTCCTAAGAATACCCTTATTTTTTATCATTCAGTAATTCAACAGACATTAGATGAATACCTACTAGGGATTGGCACTCTGCTACTGGAGATAGAGAAAATTTAAATCCAGAGAGGAAAAATTTACACGTGCTGTGGGGAGGCAGTGAAGGGTGGAAAGTTATTGTATTAATTATCAAGCAAGAGTCAATTACAGTGCTTTAAGTTTAAATACATTTCTCAAGCTCATGTGCCTGGAAAATTACAGTTTATCAGTGGTCAGCCAAATCCCCCCTGCTGCTTGTTTTTGTAAACAACGTTTTATTGGAACATAGCCAAACTCATTTATTTATATATTGCCTATGGTAACTTTCAGCTGCAAATACAGAGCTGAGCACCTAGAAAGAGAGTTATTGTAAAGCCTAAAATATCCACAATCTGTCCCTTCAGGGAAGTTTCTTTCCCCTGGTTTAGGTTAGTATAATCGAAAATCAGGCATTTGAACACAGTTCCATCTGGCTACAAAGGCCCTTCCATCTTATTTTGTCAAAATGTCAGGGTCATAATATCCTAAGTTACTATTTTATTAGTAGTAAATATTTTCTATAAATTTCTTTTTAAACACTTTTTTTGATGTTGAACTAAAAACCTCCATCTCCAGAAATGATCAATCTTCAGGAATAGATTCTACTTTTGCACACACCATTTCAGAGAGGGAATGGCAGACTGGTAGCAATAAATAAAATCAGAGGGCAGAAGTAGATGATTTTGAAAGAATCTTTCTATTCCAATATCTCACTGTTCTATGTTTCTATAATAAAAATGGCATGGTCTAAAATTAAATATAGTGCTGCAGCTGGAGCAAACACACTGCACAATGGTTTTTGGAAATCAATGAAAGATTGAGACTAACCTGCCTACAATTGCACGATTAAAAATCCAAGTGTTGCAAATCTTATTTTTCATAAGTAAGGATAACCCCTAAACAATAACAAATTATTCAAAAAAATTTCAGAAAACATTAATGACAATAGCTTGGCAGCATTTGCAACCCATTTTTGAAACATTTATTAGATTCTAGCAGGTGAATATGTTGTAAAAATTGCCCTTAAAGAATAAGATACAAAATATCAACAGCAGAGCAGATGGCAATAATTATTCCTTCAAATTATATAGTCCAAGTGACTCATTAAGACATATAGTTAAAGCTTTAACAGGGGCTTTAAACCTGAGAATGGGCTGGACATATCTACATTAAGAATTCTACTAGAAAACCTCCATTTAAATAACAGGTACAGTGCTAAGGGTAGAGGAATTGAAAAACAGGGAAGCAAATGGGAATAGTCATCATGTTATTCTTTAGGCTGCTGTAATTACATCTCTGTTTGCAATGAAACTTGGGAGCATCTTTCTTGTCCATTCATTAGTTCAACAAGCATTTATTGAAGACCTACTCTTTGCCAAACACTGAGTTAGGTGCCGGAAATACAATGGAGAACAAAGCAAACTTACTCCTCACTTCACAGTGCCTGTGGTTTAGTAGGTGAAGAGAAGCACTGAGAAATTATAATAAAGTATGATATGCTAATGGGTGTAGGGAAATATAGAATCCTGTAAGAAAGGATCCATTTGAAAATGTGGATAAATGTAGAGTCATGCATCCAGAAGAAATCATCAGTATAAGTAGATGCTAAGCAGGTGATAAAAATAAAGTGCCAAATCCAAAGGTGACGGAATCCATTTATGTCTGCAAAGCAATGACATACGATGGGTAATTGGCAAGGAATAATGTGTTTGCCATGGAAACCGAGAAGGAAAATTTTACTATAATCATTAGGTACAATGCTAATTCACACTGATAATGTTAAAACATTTTAAACATCTTAAGTAAGATGAATGCCTCAAGAATTCGCCTGGTTTACTCTCTCTGAAAATCCATCTCTTCCAGAACAGAGTAGAATTCAGTTATTCAATTTGAGAAGTATAATCTTAACAAATATTACTGGCATGTATAACATACTTGTTTATTTTAGTGAAAAATGAAACAAAACTAACACCTGTGTACACCTAACCAGCCTAAGAAATACTTTACAAATATCCTTTCTTAAATTCTCCCCCTCCCAGAGGTAAACTCTCTCTTAAATTTTAAGCAAATCATTTTGTTTTTATAATGTTACCTCATTTCTAAGTAATGCCTAAACAATATATTGTTTAGTTTTGCTTATTTTTACACTTTTTATAAATGTAATCATTCTGCGTGTTATTTTCTAAGAACTGATTTTCTTTTGTGCAAAAGATATTTTTTTGAGAACAATCAGGTTGAATGATGAAGCTGAAGTTTATTTACTTTCATTGATTTTTTTACTACCTTCATATGGCTCAATTTTGGAAAAGTGGACATTTATATGATATAGTGTTTTCCTATCTATGAAAATTATAAATTATTAATTTAATTAGATCATCTTTACTGCCTTTAAATATAAATTGTTATAATTTTCTTCATAAAGCTCTTGTAATCTTTTGTCAGGATATTCTTAGTGACCTTATATTTTAGTTAATGTAAATATTACCAATTTAGCTTCATTGTTCATGTTTTCTTAAGTAGTATTTTGTTATTCAATAATATATACTTTAAAAATTTAATTATAAATTTTTCTTTAACCCACAATTATTTAGAAGTATACTTTTAATTACAAACAAATGAAATTTTTCTTATTCATTTCTAACAATAGCATTGATGTTAGAGAATGTGGTAAATATGATACTGATTCTTTGAAATTTGTTGAATCTTGATATAAGGTCCAGATCATAGTCAATTTCCATCAATGTTTCATTTGAGCTTAAAAATATGTGTATGTTCTCACTCTCAGTGCATGATTCCTAGTAGAGTAAATTTGTTCATTGTGTTGTTGAAATATTCCATTATTACTGCTTTTTTTCTGCTACATTTATCAATTATTGAGAGAAGTTCAAATCTTTCACTACAATAGTAAATTTTTAATTTATTTTCATATTTCTGCCAGTTTTGGCTTTATACATTTTGAAGTTATGCTATTAAGAATATATCAGAATTGTTGCATCTTTCTGATAGCTTGAGCCTTTTTGTCAACGTGTAAGGATCCTCTTTATCTCTTAGTAAAGGCTTTGCCTTGATGTCTTTTGTTCCCCCAATATCAATATAATTTTACCTGCCTTTGGTTATTATTGGCTGACTTGTATTTTTCTATTAGTTTACATTCATCCTTTGTCTATCATTATGTTTAGGATGTATATCTTATAAACAGCATATAGTTGTATTTAAAAAATGCAATATGGCTATTTTAACCAACCAGTTCAGTGAATTTACATCGATTGTGATTTCTAATATATTTGGATTATTTGTACCCTCTTATTTTGTGCTTTTTTATTGTTTTTAATGTTTCTTTTTTTATTACTCTTTTTTGCTTTGTTTGGTACTGAGTTTTCTTCAAACCTTTCCTCTCTTAGTTTGAAATTATGTGCACAATTTCTATTCTATTTCTTTTTAGTTTTTATTTTTTCAGAGATAAGGTCTTGCTCTGTCACCTAGGGTAGAGTGCAGTGCCATGATCATAGCTCTTTGCAACCTTGACCTCCTGGGTTCAAGAAATCCTCCCACTTCAGCCCCCTGAGGCCTACAGGTGTGCACCACCGTGCCCAACTAATTTTTTTATTTTGTAGAGATGAGATCTTGCTATGTTGTCTAGGCTGGTCTGAGACTCCTGACACCAAGTGATCCTCCTGTCTTGGCCTCTCTAAGTACTGGGATTACAGGTGTGAGCTACCATGCTTGGCCCTATTTCTTTATTTTTAATGGGTACTCTAGAAATGTTTATGTGCATATTTAACTCAGAAAAGCTTGAAGTTTATCAATATTTTCACCTTTCCCCCAAACAAGTAAAGAAAATTTTATATTGATATGCTACTTTCCACATATATACTAACTTTGCCCAATCTTTTAGCTCAATCTTGACACATTTACCCTATCATTAGATTTTTTTATATAATCAGTGATTATTTAATATTTACCAGAGAGTTTATATTCTCTTTTATTCATGTTTCTTTTAGTATCTCACACCTTCCTTTTGAGGTCATTTTTTTTCTTCTTGAATTACATTCATTAGCTCCTCCTTTATTATTAATTCATCTTTACTAAACTCAGTATAGTTTTGGTCTCAAATGTCACTATTTTACCCTTATTCAAAAGAGTTTTTTTTTCTGGATATAGAATTCCATGTTGACAGTGTTATATACTTCAGTGCATTAAAGATAATTGTATTCTACCATGCATAGTTGTTGAAATATCACTTTAAATTTTGTTCCATTGGGTGTTCTTTTCCTCTCTAGCTGCTTTTAAACCGTTTTCTTTGTCTTTAGTGTTTTATAATTTCAATATAAATATTTGGATATGGATATCTTTTTATTTCAACTGCTTGAATTCCTTTGGACCTCATGACTCTGAGAAATTGAGGCATTTATAAATTCTGGAATAGTCTTAGTTTTGTTTTCCAATATTATGTTTCCGCCATTGTTTCTGTTCTTTCCATCTGGGACTATGATTAAAGGTTTGTTAAATTTTCTCACTTTGTCCTGTATGTCCCTTAGCCTCTCTTTCATAATTTATATTTCTTTGTTTCAAAGTGCAGTGTTCAATAATTTCTTCAGCTTGATTTCTCAGAAATTTCTTCCCTCAAAAAATTTGTATGGGTCAGGAGTCAGGCATAACTTAACTGGGTATTCTGCTTCAGAGCTGGAGCTGTGGTCTTAGCTCAAGGTTGAGCTAGGGAAGGGTCCATTTCCAAGCTCACATTGTTGTCAGTGGATTGAGTTCCTTGTTGTTGTAGTATTGGGGCCTCCATTTAGTGCTGGCTGCCAGCCGGAGGTGCCCTCAGCTCCTAGAGGCTACCCTTAGCTCCTTGCCCTGTGGGCTTTCCAATCATGGATCTTTCTTTATCAAAGCCAGCAATGACGAGAGGCTCTTTGCAAGACAGAGGTCACAGTCTTATATAATATAATCACAGAAGTGGCATCCCACCATTCTTGCTGTATTCTGTTGTTTTAAAACAAGTTGCAAGCCCCACCCACCCTCAAGGACGAGGGTCACAGAAGGACATGAACATCAGAAGTTCGGAATTGTGAGGGCTACCACAATTTGTCCACCAAATATACTTTTTTAGCTTATTTATTTTTGCTACTATATCTGATTTTATAAACTTTAAAATGAGAAACAGAATGCATCATTATAAGAGAGGGAGCTGAAATTTCTTCTGTTCTCTCCATTCCTTTGTCTTTGTCTGGATTTCTGTACTATTCTTCTAACTGGTCTCTTACCTTTAATCTGACTTCCTTCTAATCCATTCCGCACACTGCAGCCTATAAGATCTTTTAACATGGTATATCTGAATGTGGAGCAGCTCTGTTTACACCTTTCAATGGCTTCACTCAGTCTTGGGATCCAGTCTGAACTCCAGGTCTTGCTTAGTCCTAGAACTTTATATTTATACAGTTGTATTTCTCACCACTGTCCCCTCCTTACCCTCTCTCCACTTTTATTGAATTACTTGCAGCTCACTTATTCAACAAAACATTATCGAGCATATACTTGAAGGCTCTAGGAACCAATAGTAAACTGTCAAAGCAAGTATCTTCGTTTCTGAAAATTAAATGCTGTTCATGGAGACAAATAATAAACAAGTTGGAAAAATAAATGAATACACAACTAAACAATCATATAAATGCATATTTCTTAGATCACGAAGAGGATATGAAGATAATGCAGGGGCTAGGGATGTCAAAGTGACGGGGATGGATTGGCCTGTGCCTGGTTTAGATAAGGTTGTTAGGACAGGCCTCTGTAGGAAAGAGCTAGCCGAGGACAGATTGGATTGATGAGTTGGAAGCATCCATGGGAAGGTTTGAGGGAAATGCAAGTATATAGGCCATAAGTCAGATGAAGCTTGCTGAACACCTGCAGGCTTATGTGGCTGGAACAGAGTAAGGGGAAAGCATTAAAAGATATGACCAGGTGGGGCAGAAAGGGTCTTTGTGGCTTTGATTAGTGTCTGCAGTATATCTCTGTGTCCCTTGAAACCTTTGCCACCTGGTCCCTGCCCTGAAGGCTGATCTATGTAGGTTGCATCCATAGGCTCCCTGGCAGGAAATGCAAAGCCACAAGCGGGAAATCTGCAGTAGGGAGAAGGCAGTTGGGAATTTATTGTATTGATTATCTGCTTGAGGGGTTGCTATGGCTGTCTGTGTCCTTGACTCAAGGTCACAGATACTATCAAGCAGCTCTCTCTTTGCAACTGTCTCTCTCTCTTTTTTTCCCCCCAGATTTCCAACTCCTCCTTTCTTTGATCCTTCAGAACAAACAGTGATACAGTCTCCCCTCCTTACTAGCCTTGGGGTAATGATCTATAAGCCATGTTTTCCCCAACATTCCCTTTATCAAAGTCTTTTATACAACCCCAGTTTGAATGTTCTGTTTCTTTCCTTTAGAGGTGCTAACTAATGCAGTAAGGAACTTGGATTGTTTTTTTTTTAATTTTATTATTATTATACTTTAAGTTTTAGGGTATATGTGCACAGTGTGAAGGTTTGTTACATATGTATACATGTGCCATGTTGGTGTGCTGCACCCATTAACTCATCATTTAGCGTTAGGTATATCTCCTAATGCTATCTCTTCCCCCTCCCCCCACCCCACAACAGGCCCCGGAGTGTGACGTTCCCCTTCCTGTGTCCATGTGTTCTCATTGTTCAATTCCCACCTATGAGTGAGAACATGCGGTGTTTGGTTTTTTGTCCTTGTGATAGTTTGCTGAGAATGATGGTTTCCAGTTTCATCCATGTCCCTACAAAGGACATAAACTTGGATTGTTTTACTTGAAAAGCTCCTGGAGGGTTTGAAGGGGGAAAGTTGCATAATATAAATTACACCTTAAAGAGCACTCTACCTCCCACATGGAAAATATAAGCTGGGTGGGAGCAAGACTCAGGACAGTACTTAAGAGGGCATTACAGAGGCTCAGGTGAGCAATAATTATAATCTTGCTAGTGAGGAACAGTGTAGGTAGGAAGAAGTAGCTGGATTTGGATACATTTTGAAGGTAGAGATGAAAAGGTTACATAGATATTGGATGAGAAAGATGAGGATAAAGAATCCAAGGACTCTTAAATTTTTGGCCAAAGCAAAGGAAAGAATAGTGGAAGAGTTACCTAAGAAGCGAAGCAGATTTTCAATGAGGTTTTAAAAAAAAGATTTTGATTTTGGGGAAGTTAGTTTTGTGATGCTTATTAGACATCTAAATGGAATACCCATGAAGAAATTATATCTAGATGAATGGAAGCAGTGGAGGTAGGTTACAGAGCTGTAAATGTGGGGGATGACGGAACATAGATGGGATTTGAAGCTATGGGACTCTATGAGGTCACCAAGCGAGTCAATAGATAGAGAAAGGATTGGCTTTTAAAAGTTGGGAAGATGAAGAAAAACCATAAAAAGGGGATAAGAAGTAGCAGCCTGGTTAGTATCAAAAACTCAAGTGAGTCAGGATTCTGGAGGTCAAATTAAGAATGGAATAGTCAATGTGTCAATTGATGGAATTTGGGAAGAGTGAGTTCATTGGTGACCTTGTCACTAATGTTGGTGGAGTGAGATGAGCAAAAGCTTAATTGGAGTGAGTTCAAAAGAAAAAAATCAAGGATTTTGCAATAAATGTGAGCAAAAGAATAAGATGTGATTTTTGCAAGGGGATGAAAGTCAAGAGAATTTTTTTTAAATAGGAGATATTGTGGCATGATCCTCTTTGCCTGTGTTTTAATCTAATTCTTGTCTTTGAAAACTCAAGTAGTTTTTCTAGAAGTTAAGTATGGGCAGGATGTAGGGAAACTACAGTTCTAGTAGTAGCTCATTACTTCAGGGTTAGTATATAGGGAGACTTTATCACTCCTAGCCCAAAGGGGCATTGGGAGAAGTGGCTCCTGTATCCTCAGTGGGGTTTGATATCAGCCTAGATGACTCTAAGACACTGTGTGTTTATCATTCACAGAATTATATCACACTGAATTGGAGGATGTGTGACTAGTGCTGGGCACTATCTAGGTTACTCAGTCAAGTTATTATATCAACATACTACAATAAAAATATATCACTGCAGCCATTTACACACAAGGGACCCAGATTTTTATTTGGCAGTAAGATCTGGAAATGATATTTTCAGTTCTATACTCAGAAATCATTTACTGAATAACTGAAGACAGGCCATGCCCCAAACAAGGAAGGCTGGATATTTTTGTATTTGTTTTGGTTCCTAAATAACCCTTCCTCCTCTATACAAAGATCCCTTTTTACATCTCAGAAGAATATTTGACCAGACATCAGCTTGCCAGAAAACAGAAGAATAGAAGAGTATTAAGTAGATAAATGTCAAAGACAATCTGCACAAAATAAAAATAGATTAATTTACATATGAATATATTACAATAATCTTTAGAAAGTTTCCCAAGATAGAAAAGAAAAAAAAAGCAGGATAGAGATATTATATAACATACCAAGATAATATATCAATGACTGAAGTTACCTCAAAGTTCTAGAGTAGAAAATACACTGCACATCCAAGCAATTGTTTAGAAGAGAAACAAAGGAATATTTCATTCCTGATTATGCTATGGCAAAAGATTTTTAATATTGTTAGTCAAATATAGGAGAGGACGGCTCAGAGAGGCTGGATGTGTGCATGGATTAGAAGAAAAATTAGAATGAACTGGACAGAAATAAATATTACAGAAAAGGGTACAACGAAAATGAATGGTGGTAGTGGTAAGGTAATTTGAGCTTATTTCATTGATAAAGCATTGATAGTCCATGTCTATTTTAATGTAAGCTTTTACAATAGAGTTCCCCAAAGGAAGAATTAATTGTCTCTTGAGCTGTGCTGCTGCAATATTTTCTTATCTATCGCAGCTATAGTTCTCTTGGCTTAGCACTCCAATTACTCTGTAATTTTTTGTTGTCGGTCTATCAACACCAAAAGTTATGAGTTCCTTCAGAGGACTTTTTATTCCTTTAATTATTAGCTTCTATGAGACTACCTGGCACAAAGTATATACTCAGTGGTAAATGTTTGCTAAATTAACTGTAGAATAAGTATATACCGCCCCCCATGCAACCACACCCACATATATACAATCATGTGCTGCATAACAACATTTCAGTCAATGACAGACTGCATTATACAACAGTGATTCCATAAGATTACAATACCATATTTTTGTTATACCTTGCTATACCTTTCTTTATTTAGATATGCAAATGCTTATCACTGTAATATAACTGCCTACAGTATTCAGTACAGGAACATTTTGTACGGATTTGTAGTTTAGGAGCAATAGGCTATAGCATATAGCCAAAGTGTGTATTAGGCTATATCATTTCAGTTTGTGTAAGTGCACTGTACGGTGTTTGCACAGTGACAAAATCATCTAATGATGCATTTCTCAGAACATTTCTCTGTCATTAGATGACTCATGACTACATATGACTGTATATAGTATATATACTATACACATACACATAGAGTAGAAAATATATCACATATATATGCAGTATATTTCATATACATACATGCACATATACATATATACACACAATTATTCTTTAAAATCAAATGATAAAGACTCATGAACATTGAAGAATACTAAACTACTGTAGAAAAACATATAATTGTGATAGGATGAGGATGATGATGATGATGACGACACTATAAATGACAGAATGTACCCTCTAGAACAAAGGAGTTCCCCCCTTAACTTCTGAATAATGGATGTTCTCCTGAGAGTTTATGACAATTTTGACACTTGTATGCAAAAAAGTGTGACTATATAATTATGCTTGTTTACTTTCAATCTGAAAGTGAGGTCCTTATCTTTCATCAGCATTTTACAATGGTCTGAATTTTTTAAAAAGTTAACCACCTTGCTTTGTGGGGAAAATGATTTTGAGAAATCTACCTACATGAAAGTGCTAGATTTATCTCTGAGTTTAGATGAGATTTTAATCAAGATGTCATCTTTGTACACATCAGTATCCTACTTAGAATATAGCTAATATCACTCCTGAACTGTACATCTCAGAGGGAATTCCATTAGCCTAAATGCTTTGAGATATCCCTATAGGTTATAGTATGAACATAAGATGATATTATATTGATTTAGGTTAAAATCAACATAGTCACTGAAAAATTAGAATCAGATTATAAAGAATGGAGCACATAAAATGCATTAATAGAGAAGTAGAATGAAGCCACGTGTATCTCGGTCCAAAGTGCTTTGCATGTAAAAATATTCCATTAAGAAAAAGAGTATTTGGGTGATGTATTGATGTGACTGAGGACTATGAAATAATTTCCCAGGAAAACACTGACTGCTTAAATGATGACATAAAACACTATCTGTTCTAAGATGGAATCTTCCTTTAATTTTGAATGCTGTCTGCCAAAATGAACTGCAGGAACAAATGCTACATCTCATAATATCTTCTGAATGTGCAATTTTTTTCCCCTAACATTTCCTGTGGCAAATAGTTACATCCTAATTCAATTTTTAAGGGGCAGTATATTTTTTTAACTAATTAAACATGTCCTATTTTGACATAATCTCTTCCACTTTACTACTGAAGTGAAGCTAGACACTAGAAATTTACTAATGAATTAGAATTGCTTAAGAAGGACATAATTAGGTCAGTGCGGTGGCTCACACCTATAATCCCAGCACTTTGGGAGGCTGAGGTGGGCGGATCACTTGAGGTCAAGAATTCAAGACCAGCTTGGCCAACATACTGAAACCCCATCTCTACTAAAAACACAAAAATCAGCTGGGCGTGGTAGCACACATCTGTAATCCCAGCTACTCTGGAGGCTGAGGCACAAGAATCACTTGAACTTGGGAGGTGGGGGTTGCAGTGAGCTGAGATTGCACCACTGCACTCCAGCATGGGCAGCAGAGTGAGACTCTGTCTCAAACAAACAAACAAAAAATAAAAAGGACATCATTTAACTGTTTTTTAAGATGTGATGATCCTAAACTTTTCCTTCATACAGCAAACATATATTAAGTGCCTGTTCTGTGCTAAACCTCTTGCTAAGGTTTTGAAATAAAAGGACTAAGATACAAATCCTGTTCTTATGAAACCTGTGTCTAGTGATAGATGGACATGAACATGAAGTACACTAAAGTGAGGTAGCTGACATTAGAGGCATTCTTTAAGTGTTGCAGCATTAGTATTGGTATTGCAATTTTAATATATGCCATTACTGGTATTTTGTAGTATTAGTAAAACTGTTGTAGTATTAGTGTAGTATACTGTATTTTCCAAAAGTGTTTAAGGGAATATTCCTCCTATATGTTTTTCCAGAACCTTGCTACTCCCCTATCTGTAAGTGTAGTTTATTTACCCATCCCTTGGCTATAGGTGGGCCTTTAAGACTGATTCAAAGTATAGAATGCAGCAGAAGTGACAGTATGTGATTTTGAGACTAGGTCATAAAAAAGTAATATGGCTTCCACCCAGCTTGCTCTCGGACCAGCCACCATGTTGTGAGGAAGTTCAAGCCCATGGAAAGGGTAGGTGTTTTGGCCTCCAACCCTGGCCAAAGTCTCAGCAAAAACTAGCCAAACATAGGCATGACCATCAAATGATTTACACTCAGTCTCTGAGCCATCCCAGCTGACTCTGAGTGGAGCAGAGGTGAGTTATCTCTATTAAGGGATACTCACATTGCAAATTTGTGAGCAAAATGAATTCCATTGTTTTAAGCCACTAAGTTTTGAGGAAGCTTATCATGCAGCAATAGGTAACTGAAACAATAAGAAAAATTAGTATAAGGCATTAACAGGAGCATGTGTAAAAATATTTGTAATGTAAGGAACCATATACTATAGGAATAAATAAATTGACAGAGGTACAGCTGGAGATATCTTATTTGGGCAGATGAGAAGAATCAGAGAAAGAAAAAATAAACAAAATGGATATTGTCAAAGGCTCTCGAATTATGAGTCTGATTTATAAAAGAGAAATAGTATAAGCTGACGGGGGTGGGGCTTGCATGTGATGAAGAGAAACAGCAAGGACATTCATAACAAAGGAAAAGTTTGAGTAAATCCAGAAATGATTGACCATTATGGTTGGTTTTGGACAAGAGCAAGTGGTCCAGTTTTCCTGGAGTGTAGGAAACCTTTCAAAACGGAATTAGAAACTTACCAGTGAGTCATGAAATCAAATCAGAAAATCAGACATTTTTTTAATGGATCAGAATAGAATATTATAAACAATATAAAAGTGCATTTTATTTAGTAAGAGTAAGGCTTATGTTGTGAAGTGTTTACTTGTGGTTACATACATGTATAACCTGGGCCATAATATATAACAGAATAATTGTGGTTTACTATCAAAAATGTGTGAAAAACACTGAGAGTGTGTGCATTTAGGAGTATAGTAAGAGATAAGCCTGGATTTGAGGGCAGGAGGCCTGTCCTGTTCCTTTCCAAGTCCCATGGTATAGAGCCATCATTCACTTTCTCACAACTTTTACCTAAATTAAACTTTTATTATGATTTATTTTAATGAATATATAAATGAAGTTTTTAGTTATATATTAGTTTCATTATATAGTGGTTCTTGACATCTAGGAAAGTATTTCTAGTTCTTTTTATGCTCAATTCCCATTTATGTTGTTTCTGAATGAATGAGTAGTACAGCACTGGAATATCCTTTTCATCAAGTGAGATTTTCTTTTCATTGAGAGATATTACACATGAGTGGAGAGTAAGCTTACCAATTTGGTTCTGTTTCTTCTGTGTCTCTGGAGAATCCTGACGATACAAATATGTGTAACAATAACTAATATTTAGTCAGTGCTTAATATGTGCCAGCTTCTGTTTTAAGTACTTTAGAAATATTTTTCATTAGATTTTCCAAACTTCCTCATAAGATAGGTAATACTATACGGATGAAGCACAGAGATATAACTTGCTCAGGATCAAAGAGCTAGACAATGACAGGGCAAGTATTTGAAGCCAGAGAGTATGGTTTTTTTTTTATTTTTATTTTTTTTTGAGACGGAGTCTAGCTATGTCATCCAGGCTGGAGTGCAGTGGCATGATCTCGGCTTACTGCAAGCTCCACCTCCTGGGTTCACGCCATTCTCCTGCCTCAGCCTCCCAAGTAGCTGGGACTACAGGCGCCCACCACCACGCCCGGCTAATTTTTTGTATTTTTAGTAGAGACGGGGTTTCACCGTGTTAGTCAAGATGGTATTGATCTCCTGACCTCGCGATCTGCCTGCCTCGGCCTCCTAAAGCGCTGAGATTACAGGCGTGAGCCACTGCTCCTGGCCGAGAGTATGGTTTTTAAAAGCTATTCTATGTACTTTTTGGTTTAAACTATTCATACATACACAGATAAGGACTGGAAGATAAAATCATTTGAAGATAATTGTCTTAGAGCAGTGAGAATTTGTTTTCTATCATTTAAAAAATTGCCTTTCGTTGGGCGTGGTGATTCATGCCTGTAATCCTAGCACTTTGGGAGGCCGAGGAGGGCAGCTCACTTGAGGTCAGGAGTTCGAGACCAGCCTGGCCAACATGGTGAAACCCTGTCTCTATTAAAAATACAAAAATTAGGTGGGTTTGGTGCCAGGTGCCTGTAATCCCAGTTACTCAGGGAGGCTGAGGCATGAGAATCACTTGAACCCTGGAGGCGGAGGTTGCAGTAAGCCAAGATCATGCCACTGCATTCCAGCCTGGGTGACAGAGTGAGACTCTGTCTCAAAAAGAAAAAAAAAAACCTTGCCTTTTATATATTAAATATTTTTTAAACAGAAATAAAATTCAAAGAGTATGATGGTTAAGGTTTATATATATATAATATATATATTATATATATAGTTTCATTCAAGAAAGATTGTACAGAATACAAATTCTCAAATCCCACTTTGAGACTTATTACTTAAGCTACATATGTTACTGTAGGTAAAATTTCCATTATTTCTAAGACCATTCAGAAATACTATTTGCTAAAGATGTACTTTCTATTTCTGTTACGAATTTTCAGACCAATCGACATATGGTGCATCTTTTATAAAGTTTAATCTGAATTAGTTATCCTATGTTCCTATCCTACTCCCTCCAGCCCAAGAAATAGTAAAATGGGTTTCTACTATTCAAATACAAGACAAGTTTTTTTTTTTATTTTTTTTATTTTTATTTTTATTTTTTTTTTTGGAGATGGAGTCTCACTCTGTCACCCAGGCTGGAGTGCAGTGACGCAATCTTGGCTCTCTGTAAGCTCTGCCTCCCGGGTTCACGCCATTCTTCTGCCTCAGTATCTAGAGTAGCTGGGACTATAGGTGCCCACCACCATGCCCGGCTAATTTTTTTTTTGTATTTTTAGTAGAAAAAGGGTTTCATCGTGTTAGCCAGGATGGTTTCGATCACCTTACCTCGTGATCTGCCCACCTCGGCCTCCCAAAGTGCTGGGATTACAGGCGTGAGCCACCGCGCCCGGCCATAAGACTAAATTTTTAAGATATATACACATCAATGCTAAGCAAAGTCTGTCCATTGGAGGTGAAAGAAAATCAATTCCACATTATTTTCCAAAAGCATATTATGCAGAATTCTCAGTATTTAAGAAAGCCCACTCTTTAGCTACTGATAGAAAATGTGATGCCTTTTATTTTTAACAAATATGGACAAAAGTTTAGTGTCTTAAATTACTGTGGGTTTTGTTTTTATTTCAAGCCAAAATACCCTCTATTTGTAGTCTTTCTAATGTTGAGGAAATATATGTATATTAATCAGCATAGATTAGATTATATTGTAGTAACAAATTAAAGTTCCAGTGACCTGGACTTCTACTCCTGGTCAAGATAGATTAACAGAGACCAGGTTTACCATTCTTCTGCACACCTGAAACAACCAAGACAAGAACAAGACCACAAGACAACATCTAAAAGACAAGACCACACCTAAAACAACCAAGAACTGGATAAACTATATGAAATAGTGTTTTTCAAAATATGGGCATCAGACAACTAAAGACAGTGATCCCTGAGAACGGGAAACAAATGACGTGAACCCTGCCATTACTTCTAGATCATTGCCTCGAGAGAGTTTCCAGGCCATGTTAATGGGAGGGGAACACTGGGCAGCACCTGGTGTACTCCCTGAGTTGAGACGGAGCTGAGGGTGTGAGAATACTCAAGTGGATAGAGCTCACAGAATAGAATACTGGAGAAGTAGCTACAGGAGCAAGAACTCTGCAGATCTGCAGAGTCTGCTTCAAGAATTCAGGGGAGTACTGATTAGCACATGTGTGAGAAAACTACCCTAAATTACAGGGGAAGAAAAACAATATTCAGAGGAAACAGGACCTGGTGTTCAAACAGGGCATGGAATAGTGTCTGCTACCATCAGCCAGACTGGAAAAACATCTAGTGGGGCATTGGTACTATGTACAGAAGGGTCTTCCATCAGTAGTCGGGAATGATTAGCTCTAGATGAGCATTGCTCTGATTTCACTTAACAAAACTTTAATGTTAAGCTGAAAGGATCAGTTTCCAAGAAAGAAAACTGTTTCTAATATAAGTCTCAATAACAATCATAGACATACAAAAATACATAGATTTCAACATGGTAAAATTCACAATTTCTAGCATCTGATAAAAATTACCAATTTTTAAAAGAAGCAGGAAAATATGATCCATAATATTGAGCAAAATCAATCAGTTTAAACTAAACCAGAAGTGAAATGGATGTTGGAATTAGCAGATAAGGACATTAACCAGTTATTATAACTGTATTTTGTATGCTCAAGAAGTTAAACAGACATGATGTACAAAATGATTAAAAGGAAACTTCTAGAAATAAAAATGACAATTCCTGGGATAAAAATATACTGTATAGGATTAAGGGCTGATTAGACATTGCAGAAGAAAAGATTAGTAAACTTGAAGACATGTAATGGGAACTAACTATAGTGAATCAAGCTGAGACAAAAATGCTTAAAAAGGAACCCTGAATGTCAGTGAGCAGTCGGATAACTTCAAGCAGTCTAATATATATAGAATTGGAATCCCTGGATAGGAATGGGGGAGCAGAAAAATATTTGAAAATGTAGTAGCCAAAGGTCTTTTAATTTGAGGAAAATTATAAACCCATAGACGCAAGAAACTCAAGTGAAAGGAACATGATGAAAACTACAGTGAGGTACATCTTCAAAGTGCTCAAAACCAGGAATAAAGAGACAATCATAGGAGCAGCCAAGGCAATAGGACATATTATATACATAGAAACAAAGATAAGAATTAAAGAAAATTTTTGATCAGAAAAAACAAAAGTGAGAAGATAATGGAACAACCTCTTTAAAATATTGAAGAAAAAAATCTGTCCATCTAGAATTCTACATCTACAGAAAATATCAAAGACGAAGAGGAAAAGGACAAGAAATGTTAAAAGGAGTCTTCCAAATAGAAAAAAAAAAAGATGAAAATATCGTTCTTTAAATAGGAATGAAGAATACAAATGTTATAAGCAAAAAAAAACCCCAGAGTTTTTCTTCTTATTTAATATTTTAAGAAGATAGTTGACTTTAAAAAATATTAACAATGTAGTATATGGTTAATGACATATGTAAAATATGTGGCAATAATAATATGTGATAACAATGACAAGACCAACAAGTGAGAAATGGAAGTATGCTATGTAAAGTTCTTATACTATGTATGTAGTGGTAAAGTACCACTTGAAGGTAGACTGATAAAGAGTTATGCTATAAATTCAAAAGCACGCACTTAAGTAATAATAAAACATAGTCAAAGAATCATAGCTAATAAGCTAACCGAGGAGATAAGATAGAATAACAAAAGCACTCTATATATGCTGATAGAAAAGATGAAAAAGGGAACAAAGAAAAGATGGGACAAATACAGGTAAATAGGCAGATAGACTTAAATTGAACCATTAAAATAACATAAAATGCAAGTGGTTTAAATGCTCCAATTAAAAGACGAAAGTTTTCATATTGGATAAAAATGCAAGACCTAACTGTATTTTGTCTACAAGAAACTCACTTTAAATATAAACATACGAGTATGTTTAAAGAAAAAAAGTAGAAAATTTATATCATGCTGACGTGAACCAAAAGAAAGGTGGAATGACCATATTAATACTGAATAAAGTAAGTTTCAATGTAAAGAATACCACCAGGAATAATGAAGATTATTTCTTAATTATTCCTGCAATATAATACATTAGAAAAACATAATAATCCTCCTAATAATAACTAGATCCTAATGAAACATTAGAAGGACTAGTATTTAGAATTACTAATTCTAACAGTAATTAGAAAGACAAAATAATATGCTTATTTACCTAATAACAGAGCTTCAAAATATATGAAAGAAAAAAAGAACTGCAAAGAGATAAATACAAATTCACAAGTATAGTCAGAAATTTTAATTCTCTTCTTTCACTAATTGATAAAACAAGTAGACAAAAAATCAGCAGGGTGATAGATGACTAGGAAACTGCTATCAATTGTCTTGACCTAGCTGCCTTTTTTTTTTAAAAAAAAAAAAAAAAAAAGAGACAGTGTCTTGCTCTGTTGCCCAGGCTGGAGTGTTAGCTTACATTTATGGAGCAAACAACAGCAGAATTTACAGAGAGCACTTACCGCAACATATCACATACTAGGCCATCAAACAGTCTTAATAAATTAAAAAAAAATTTCAGGTTCTACAAAGCGTATTCTCTAAAATATGATTAGATTAGAAATCAATAACAAAAATTGTTGAGCTGTCTTCAAAAATTGGGAAACTATATAATGTACTTTTAAATAATATACTTACAAAAGTGAAATTGTTTGTATTAATATTTAACAAAGTAAATTTCTTTCTTTTTTTTTTTTCTTTCTTGAGACGGAGTCTTGCTCTGTCACCCAGGCTGGAGTCAGTGGCGTGATCTCGGCTTACTGCAACCTCCACCTCCCAGGTTCAAGTGATTCTCATGCCTCAGCTTTCCAAGTAGCTGGGATTACAGGTGCCCACTACCCATGCCTGGCTAATTTTTGTATTTTTTAGTAGAGACAGAGTTTCACCACGTTGGCCAGGCTGGTCTCAAACACCTGGCCTCAAGTGATTCAGCTGCCTCAGCCTCCCAAAATGCTGAGATTACAGGTATGAGCCACCTTGCCTGGCTAACAAAGTAAATTTCAATGTAAAGAATACTATCAGGGATAGTAATAAAGGTCATTTACTAATCATTCCTTAGTCAATGCACTCCTGGCTCAAAGAAACATTTTTTTTAAAAAAAGAAATTATTTTAAACTGAATAAAAATTAAACACACTACCAAAATGTGTGCCACTAAAAGAATACTTAGGGAGAAATTTACTGCACTAAACACCTATTTTAGAAAAGAAGAAAGATCTTAAATCAGACATCTCAGTTTCCACTTTAGGAAACTAGCAAAATAAAATGAAAATAAACTTACAATAAGCAGAAGAAAGGAAACAATAATCTGGAGTAGAAATAAACTAAATAGAACATTAGAAAAGAATGCAGAAGCATCATGAAAACAAAAGCTTGTTCTTTGAGAAGACAGAAAAAAATTAATTCAAATCTAACCAGGTTTATTAGGAAAAATAAAGAAGAAAAAATCAGTCTCAGGAATGAAAGAGGTGACATCATTACAGATCTACAGATATTTTAATTATAATAAGAGAATATTATGAAAAACTTCATGTCAATAAATCAGACGTTTTGTATAATATGAAAGAATTTCTTGAAAAATTTATACCACAAAAAAAATTCCAGTGATTTAACAAAGTCAAGATTTCATTCTTGTTCAATCTATATGGCCTTTGCAGATTAAGGGGAACTTTGCTGTGCCTAATGACTTAGGCATTCAGGCAACGAAGCTTCTGCAAAGCAAATGAAACAATCACAAAGTCACAAGTCAACCTGCAGAATGGGAGAAAATATTTTCAAACTATATGATATGGTTTGGTTTTGTGTCCCTACCCAAATCTCATCTTGAATTGTAATCCCCATAATCCCCAAGTGTCAAGGAGAGACCAGATGGAGATAATTGAATCATGCATGGGGCAGTGATCCCATGCTGCTCTTGTGATAGTGAGTGAGTTCTCACGAGAACTGAGAATCTCGTGAGGTTATAAGGGGCTCTTCCCCGTTCACTCAGCACTTGTCCTCCCTGCCACCTTGTGAAGAAGGTTTGTTGCTTCCCCTTGGCCTTCCGCCATGATTATTAGTTTCCTGAGGCCTCCTCAGCCATGCTGAACTGTGAGTCAATTAAACCTCTTTTCTTTATAAATTACCCAGTCTCGGGCTATAAAGAAGTATGAAAATGGACTAATATACCATATATCTAATGAGGAGTGGGCATCCAAAATATGTAAGGATTCCTACAACTCAGCAAAAAAAAAAAAAACAAGGTAACAAATAACCTGACTGAAAAATAGGCATGCCAGGTGCGGTGGCTCACGCCTGTAATCCTAGCACTTTGGGAGGCCGAGGCAGATGGATTGCCTGAGTTCAGGAGTTCAAGACCAGCCTGGGTAACACGGTGAAACTGCACCTCTCTTAAAATACTGTACTCCCAGCTACTTGGGAGGCTGAGGCAGGAGAATTGCTTGAACCCGGGAGGCAGAGGTTGCAGTGAGCCAAGATCGTACCACTACACTCTAGCCTGAGCGACAGAGCAAGACTCCATCTCAAAAAAATAAATAAGTAAATAAATAAATAAAAAAGAAAAAAAGAAAAATAGGAATAAGATTAAATAGACATTCCTAAAAGAATAAACACATGCCAACAAATATATATAAAGATGCTCAATAATCACTAAATCACTAAACAAAACCACCATGAGATATCACCTCACATCTGTTAGGATGCCTGCTATTAAAAATAAATAAATAAAAAGATAAGTCTTGGTAAGAATATGGAAAAATTGGAACCCTTGTACACTACTGGTGGAAAAATAAAATGGTGTAGCTGCTATGAAAACTGTATGGAGATTCCTAAAAATTAAAAATAGAACTACTATATGATCCAGCAATCCCACTTCTGAGTACATATCCAAAGGAAATGAAATCAGTATCTCCGAGAGATATCTGCACTCCCATGTTCATTGCAGCATTATTCACAATAGACAAGAGTTGAAAGCAAAGTAAATGTCTGTGGACAGATGAGTGGATAAAGAAACTGTGGTACATATACACAATGATATACTATTCAGCCTTGAAAAAGAAGGAAATTCTGCCATGTGTGACAACATGGGTTAACCTGGAGAACATTATCTAAATGAAATAAACCACTTTATTGCCAAAAAAACCCACTCAAGTGTGCTGATTTTTTAATCGTTACAATACTGTCCAACAGAGCAATGACATACTTCCTAGAAAATAAAATGTTATTTCAACTAAACTTTACTGCTGTAGTAGGGTATCTTCTGCTAATTATTGCAAAGTCATTGTGGCTCTCAAGCAAGCAAATACCCTATTAAACAGACTGTGGAACTTAAAGGTTTTGACATAACTGTAATAGGATTAAACCACTCATTATCAAGATGAAACTACTTTATGCCAACGTGCTGTTGCATAAAGGATAATACTGTTGCATGAGGATAATGCTGTTGTATGAAGATAAATACTTCATTATTCCACTTATAAGCATTATCAAAAATAGTCAAAATCATAGAAGCAGAGAGTAGAATAGTGATTGGCAGGTACTGGAAGAGAGGAATGGGAAATGAGAAGTTGCTGTTCAATGGGTATGAAGTTCAGCTAAGCAAGATGAATAATTTCTTGAGATCTGCCATACAATATATTGTGCCTATGGTTAATGATAGTGTATTATGCACATAAACATTTGTTAGGAGGATACAGCTCATGTTAAGTGTTATTACCACATTTTTTTTTAAAGGAAGTTGCATTGAGGCACTAAGAACTCTACATCTGTTGCAGCAGAACAAGAGCAAGACTGGAGAATCACATATAAGCCTCCACAGTTTCAACCTATAAGTGATACACAGATCCCTTTTGCTCCTATTTATTGACCAGAACCTCATATGGACCTGCCTAACTATTGGGGGCTGGAAATTGTATAAGTACAAATTTCTACCATAGACTGACGATAATATATTAAATGACACTACTTGGAAGACTTTTATTTTATTTTTTCCTTTTAGAAAAAAGTGTAGGCTTACAATTGTAAATGTCGCAAAGTATTTCTGAACTATGCACCAGTTGTCTAAGTGTTGGTACCTGCAACAACACTTCTGTATAAAGTAGTTTCATCTTGGTAGTGAGTGGTTTAATCTTGTTACAGTTATGTCAAAACCAAAGTTCCACATTCTGTTTAACAGTGTATTTGCTTGCTTGAGAGCTGTAATTACTTTGCAATAATTAGCGGAAGATACCCTACTACAGCAGTAAAGTTTAGTTGAAATAACATTTTATTTTCTATGAAGTATGTCATTGCTCTTTTGGACAGTATTGTAAGGATTAAAAAAACAGCACACTCGAGTGGGTTTTTTGGCAATAAAATACTTTCTGGGGTATGACAGTACAATATTGATAACTGCCATTACGTATTTGTATTTATAAAAGGATTCCTGCCAGTTGTTATTTGGAAAATACCTGGCCTTTATTCAGGTTTCTCATGAGCCACATTTACTCTTTATTTTTCCTCTTACCATTCTGTGCATTTTTAATTGGGTACTAACGGGAAAAATGTTTTCAAATAAAAAAATTCCTCAGTGTAATTTCCCTTGTGTTAGTGCTTCAGTAAGCAAATTTGAATGCCCTGAGCAGCTATTAAATTAGGTTTATTTTTAACTGAAACTAACTAGAATATATTTAAAGATAGATAAGTTTTCATGACAAAGTTGCGAAAATATCACCTGTAGATGTGAAGACTTGAAATTGCACTTTGTAGCTCTGTTGTTCTTGAAGTTTTAAAAGCATCTGTGTATTTTTTAAAAGATCTTGAGAAACATTTCCAAAGTATTCTCTTTAAAAAGATCTCAGAAAAACTCAAAATAGTACAGACAGAATGATTTCCTTGTTTTAATAGGAGTTTAATGATTTTAACTAATGAAAGAAATTTTTAAAAAGAAAACTAACATTTACTAGGGGCCTATTATCTGTAAATTGTGATGCAGAACTTAGTAATAATACTAATTTAAATGCAAAGTCTATTGCTTAATAGGAAAATCAAGAACTCTTGGTTCTGGCCTGGAGCGTTGGCTCACACCTGTAATTCCAGCACTTTGGGAGGCCAAGGAGGGCGGATCACGAGGTCAGGAAATCGAGACCATCTTGGTTAACACGGTGAAACCCCGTCTCTACTAAAACTACAAAAAATTGGTGGGCGCCAGTAGTCCCAGCTACTCGGGAGGCTGAGGCAGGAGAATGGCATGAACCCGGGAGGCGGGGCTTGCAGTGAGCTGAGATCCGGCCACTGCACTCCAGCCTGGGTGACACAGCGAGACTCCATCTCAAAAAAACCAAAAACAAACAAACAAACAAAAAACAACAACAAAAAAAACCCTCTTGGTTCTAAGAAGTTCCCATTTGATGTAAGTGCATTGAGGAATAAAATATGGAGAAAATATAAGTAAGAGATAGATGACATACTTCAGAATGAAAGATAACCTTGTTTGTTGGTTTCAAGACTTTTCAGCATTTAGAATTTAGTAGTGAGAAATGTTTGGCTCTGTTTACACAAAGAAATGTGAAAGATTCATTTGGTCATACAGGCATACTTTGATTATATAGCAGGTTCAGTTCCAGACCACCACAATGAACTGAGCATCACACTAAAGTAAGTCACACATTTTTTGCTTTTTCAGTGCATATAAAAATATGTTTGCACTATACTATAGTATATTAAGTATGCAATAGCATTATGTCTGAGAATGTACATACCTTAATTAAAAATATTTTTTGGTAAAAAGTGCTAATGATTTTCTGAGCCTTGTGATTTATAATCTCTTTGCTGGTGAAGGGCCTTGCCTCAATGTTGATGGTGCTGACTGATCAGCTTGGTGGTTGTGGAAGATTAGGGTGATTGTCACAATTTCTTAAAGTAAGACAACAATGAAATTGACCCTTCTTTCCATGAAAGATTTTTTTGTAGCATGTGATGCTGTTTGATAGCATTTTCCCCACAGTAGAAGTTCTTTCAAAATTGAAGCCAGTCCTTTTAAACCTTTCCACTGCTTTCTCAATTTAATTTATGTAATATTCTAAATCCTTTGTTGTCATTTCAACAATGTTCAGAGCATCCTTACCAGGAGTAGATTCCATATCAAGAAACCAATTTTTTTTGCTCATTCATAAGAAGCAACTCCTCATCTGTTGAATATTTATCATGAGGTTGCAGCAATTCAGTCCCATTTTCAGGCTTCACTTCTAATTCTAGTTGTCTTGATATTTCCACCACATCTAGAGTTATTTCCACCACATCTAGAGTTGCTTCCTCCACTGATGTCTTGAGCCCTTCAAAATCATCCATGAGTGTTGGAATCAACTTCTTCTAAAATCTTGTTAATGTTGATAACCTTCTCCCATGAATCATGGATGATTGTAATGGCATCTAGAATGGTGAATCCTTTCTAGAAGGTTTTCAATTTACTTTGCCCAGATTCATCAGAGGAATCACTATCTAGAGCAACTAGAGCCTTACAAAATGTATTTCTTAATAATAAGACTTGAAGGTCAAAATGACTCTTTGATCTATGGGTTCAGAATAGATATTGTGTTAGTAAGCATACAAACAATAATCATCTCCTTGTACATCTCCATTAGAGCTCTTGGGTAACCAGACGCATTGTCGATTTGCAGTAATATTTTGAAAGGACTCTTTTTCTAAGCTGTGGGTTTCAACAGTGGGCTTAAAATGTTCAGGAAACTGTCATAAACAGATATGCTGTTATCCAGGCTTTGTTGTTACCTTTATAGAGCATGGGCAGAGTAGATTTAGCATAATTCTTAAGAGCCCTAGGATATTTGGAATAATCAATGAGCATTGGCTTCAATTTAAAGTCACCAGCAATATCAGCCCTTAACACGAGTCAGCCCATCCTTTGAAGCTTTAAAGCCAGTCATTGACTTTTCCTCTTTAGCTATGAAAGTCCTAGATGGTATCTTCTTCCAATATAAGGGTGTTTCATCTGCATTGAAAAACTTGTTGTTTAGTGTAGCCACCTTGGTACATCATATTAGCCAGATTTTCTGGATAACTTGCTGCAGCACTTGTGATTGCACTTGGTACCAGCACTTATTGCTTCATCTTGCACTTTTATGTTATGGAAACATCTTCTCTCCCTAAACTTCATGAATCAACTTTTGCTAGCTTCAAACTTTTCTTCACAGCTTCCTCACCTCTCTCAGCCTTCCTAAATTGAAAAATTTAGGGTCTTGCTCTGAATTAGGCTTTGGCTTAAGGGAATGTTGTGGCTGGTTTGATCTTCCTTACAGACCACTATAATGTTCTCCACATCAGCAATTAGGCTGTTTCACTGTCTTGTCATTCATGAAGTCACTGGAGTAGCACTTTTACTCTCCTCTAAGAACTTTTCCTTTGCATTTACAACTTGGCTAGCTGGCGCAAGATGACTAGCTTTTGGCTTACCTCTCGTTTTGTTTCTTACTAAGCTTAGTCATTTCTGGCTTTTGGCTTCAGATGAGACATGTGTGACTCTTCTTTTTACTGAACACATAGAGGTCATTGCAGGGTTATTAACTGGCCTAACTTTAATATTACTGTATGTCAGGAATATGGAGAACCAAGGAGAGTGGGGGAGATGAGGGAAAGGCTGGTCAATGGGGCAGTCAGAACACAGACTATATTTATTGATTAAGTTTGATGTCTTACATGGGTGTGGTTTGTGGTACCTCAAAACAATTACAATAGTAACATCAAAGATCACAAATCACCACAACAGATATAAAATATAAAAATAATTAAAAGTTTTGAAATAGTGCGAGAATTAACAAATTATAACACAGATACATGAAATGAACACGTGCTTTTGGAAAAATGGCACTGATATACTTGCTGGGTGCAGTTGTCACAAACCAGTCTGTAAAAAACAGAACATCTGCTAAGTGTGATGACTTGAAGCACAATAAAACAAGATATGCCTGGATTTGTAAATAAGCCTTTGGCCACTCTCTAGCCTAATGAACTAGGTGCTTTCCTGAATCATTTACTTTTCATACATTCCCTTTCAAATAGTTTGAAAACAGTCTCAAATAGTATTTTTTTAAAAATAATTTTGAGATGGTAGGAAGGTGGACAGGAAAATATGTCTTGGAAACCTCAAAGAAGATAAAGGTCCTCTATAAATACAAACAAGACTCTAAGACTCAGTCAAGGAAAACTTTATAATGAAAATGAGAGAGAAAGAGGAAAATGCTATATGATGATATATTAAAGTGCCCAACCTACTCATTCCAAATAATGGGCTGTACATTATTCACTGATTTCTCTACTTCTTATTCTCAATTTGCAGTAATTTGTTTCTTTGTTAAATTCCTTTATGATTAACTTGCAAAGTCCCTATTAGTAAAAATACAGTTTCTGATATATTGCATAAACTTTATAATAATCCAGAACTATTTATTTCTCATGGTTTGAATTCCACTTGACATTGCTAAAATTCTTGCTTTAAAAAACTTCACTGGCTCTTGAGGAAAACAATACAAAACAGAGAAAGGACTACAACTTAAATGTAGACAAAATTTTTAAAAAATGGAGTTACTGATCATCTATTCATCCCGTAAACTTCAGGATTTCAGCAGTACATTAGGAGCCTGTTTTATTTTCACATACTTGTATTTTCCTCTTGTGTACTCCTACTAGTCACCTGCTTATGGTGACAGAAAACAAATGGGGCAACAAACCTATCAAGCGTGCATTTACTTGTTGAAATCCCTTTTTGCATTCATGGGTTTAGATAATATCTTTTAATATCTAACACCAGCAGGCATCGCCTGAGAAAATCTGAAAAATTATTTGTTGCATTTTTATTGGCTTATCCTTATAAAGATTTTTTAAATTTATACTTCCTACCTATCATATATATGTTCCTATAGAAAGTAAAATTATATTTAAACTCAATAATGAGTAAACTTAAATATTAAAGTGGTATATTACATGGTTCAGGTTAAATTTTGCTGGCATAAAATTCTTTAAAAAATGACCCCCCCCAAAAAATAAAATTGCATAACTATTAGAAGGAAATATTCTTTTAGGGGGCTTGAAGAATTTCTCAGTACTTAATTTTCATTTTACCTCAAGCTGGCATAAATAAAACTTCAGGGCATTTAAAATTCTTAGAAATGAAAATTTCAATTACAGATGGCAGAATACAATTTAGACTCCAGTCTTTTTTCTTGAAATTTACCAATATTGACAGCAAATGAAAATTACAGAAAAAAATTTTACCCTCAATGAAATATGAGCATATCCACAATCCAAATAATAAACTGTGAATCAAATACCGTCAAATATAACCAAAGTAAATAAAGGGGCCAAAAAAGGTGACCCATAACTCTTTTCAAAACCTTAAGGAGGTCGCATTAGTTCCTAAAGGTGAGAGCACAATCTGAGCATATGGATGTAGCTGGGATAAGAGAGAGTTGTTCCCATAAAAGAGACACCTATGGCTACATTTGTTGTTTATGACTTAGTTTTCTTGTAGTCAAAGGAAGCTACAAGAAGAGAAGGGAAAAACAAGAAGAGAAAGGAGATTTCTAATAATACAGAGCATATTGAGCACATGCATTTAAGTCTGCTCCTTTTTGGAGCCCCATGAAGATAATGTAGCTTTCAAAAAAATATAAACGTCATTAAAAAGAAAGTGGAAATAAGAGACAATATTAGATGAACTCTTAACAAAGTGAGGAAATAGAAAGCAGGTGGGAGAGTGGTAATTGACTAAGCATGGGGAAAGATGAAACCTGAGTGCCTGAACAGAAGGATGTCAATAAGAATTCAAGTTGCAGAATCTTAGAAAAATGCAAGAATTTGCGGCAAGCTGGATCTCAGGAGGTAAGGGTGTGAGGCTTGCCTGAGAAGACCAGGCCTGGTTGAAATCTTCTTAAGAGGCAGTTAGACCCATGGGTAGGATGAGGTTTCTACTCTGATGAAATTACTAGAGACCTGTGATTTGCAGGACACGGAGTACAGTGGAGGTCTGAAATGAGAATCTTCCTAAAACTGAAGGTTTTAGAGGAAACACAGTACTGAAGAGTGAGATTCCCTGTCTGATTGCTTTGTTTTTTGTTCCTGTTAACAGATGTATTCCCACTAGGCAGGAAATTGGATTGAGTTTTCTCTAGACAAATGGTTCTTGATTGTGGCCTCAGGCCCAGCAACACCAGTATCACCTGAAACTTATTACAAATGCAAATTTTCAGACTCTGTGCACTGACTGAAAACATCCAAGTGTGGGGCCTAGCAATTTTTGTTTTAACAAGACATCCAAGTGATTCTGAAGCACTCAGGTGTGAATATCAAACTCAAGATTTGAGAACCACTGCTCTAGAAAAACTGATTGGCCCAAGAGATCTGGCGTCAACTACTTCACTCTACCATGAAGGCTGCCAGCCAGTTACACCCAAGCACAAGCACATAGCTTCCAATATGCTTTCAAAATACCAGACACCAAGGGATCACAAGATTTTCGAGGAGAGCCTTGAAGTCGGAACACTGAAACCCAAACAAACAGGAAAAAGGACATAGAGAAAAGCATGACATTGAAAAGAACAGAAAGAACATAAAAACTATAATTGACAGCTTCAGAAAGTTAAGAAAAGAGATTGAATTCATAAAACCAGATCAGACGATTAAAAAAGGAACAATAAGAAACAAGAAAGAGCTCTTTGGAAATTGAAAGTATGATTGCTGAATAAAAAAAAAATCCCTCTAGAAGAGTTATATGTGAAGGTCGTCCAAATTGAAATGGCCCACTGTGCTGTGTACCCAGCAGAAGAATGAAAAAATACCTGCACCAATTCAGAACCTGAAGTTTCAGAACACTAGACTTTAAGAGAGGTGGGAAAGAGTTACCTATAAAGCCTGGGGAATCAAATTGGCACCTGGTACTATAGCAGCTAAACTGTGGAACCTGGGAGATAATGGGTAAATGCCTCCAAATTTCAGAAAGAAGTTTCTAACTGATGTGCAGCCAAATTATCTTTAAGGTGTGAGGATGGAATAAAAACATTTTCAGATGCATGGATCTTAAAAATTTACCTCCTATGCTTCCTTCCTCAGAATGCACTCCATGTAAACAAGAAGACTCAAGATTTAAGAAACAAGGCCACCATCACTGGACATAGAAAAAGAGGATCCTCAGAATCAAATCTATAGGAAATTTCAAGGTAGAAGATACTGCAACAGACTTAGAGAGTGACTAGATGACTGGCTCAAGAGACCAGAGGGCTCCAGGAGTGACTGTTCTGGGAGGAAGAAATGGATTTAACCAATTACTTGACATGGAAACTGAAACTGAATTTGGGAAGAATTAGGGTTATTAACAGAAAAGCAAGACAATTACTAACTTAAGAAAATAAGCTGAGTAGGAAAGAAATGTAATAATAGCCCAGATTTGAAAAAAATATTTACATAGTCATATTAATGTGAGCACTGAACACTGATTTAATAAATGATGGTAAAACAATAATGAGATGATGTAGGGAGAGAAACACACATGGCAGAAGTGGTAAAAGTGGGCTAAATCTTCGCAGTTCATTATAGAAAGTCAATAGATGATGTACAGTTGCTAAATCAATCACAAAACAGCAGAATAATTGTATATGAATTTACTGAAAAAGCTGAACATTGGTGTGGGCTCCATTTAAAGGTAGAACTTAAATTAGGCAAGTGGGAGGATAATGGTTATGTTAGAAAAAGTTACATAATAACTAACAAAGATCAGGAACTGGGAAACGGAGCTATAAAAAAGTATACCAATTTCAAAATATTTTATGATAGGGAAGAAATAGGGTGGCCAGAAAAAGGGAAACAAATATTTTTTAAAACTGTACAATCTCCTAATGTTTTGCATAATCTTATTCCCTTATCCATAGAAATTCTAGAAATGGATAGCCCTCAAATTTTTTGAACATTGTATAAAGTTTAGCAAAGTCTTTTAGCTTCAAAAATTCTTTTGCTTTTTAAAAATTTTAAGTAAATATCATATAATTATTTAAATAAAATTTAATATGCTCTGTATCAATCTATCACCTATCTTATATATCTAAACCATTTATCCATCTATCTTTTTGTCTGCATATGTACTAATTGAGCAACATCTAGAATGAGCTTCACCTAATGTTAATGATGATGCTTCTAAGTGATGAGACTTGGAATTATTTTTTACACTTGTCTTTTTACTTTTTGTATTGATTAGAATTGTTTAATAATAATTATATTCATATTAAAGTATCTTTAGAGTCTTGAAATTGAAGACTTATTTTTGAATGAATTTTATGGCTTGCAAGTTGAATGATGTCATTCACCCTTTATCATGCTTCTATATTATAATCTCTCATTATGTTTTTAGTACTCTTAGAATTAAACTATTTGTTTCATGTTCCTCGTTTCCTCATTTATTATTTTTTCTTCATGTACACATCACTACATTATATTTCTTATTCCTATGAGTCAGAAATGTGTGCTTAACTTATACCATTATGTATATATTTCACATTTGAAAGAGACACAAACAGAATGGCCACATATTTTGCAATGGATATTTTACTATAATTAATTTTCTTGAACAAAGATACATGTGTATGTGTTTCATTATTTAATTCTTAAACCTTTAAGAAGAATTATTGTGAAATGCCAAAATTTGGTTCATACCTAAGATTTTCTGTTTCCCTTGAAAACATTCAAACAAGTACCCAAACAACAAGGAAAAGAAGCTTTCACTTACTTTTACTTAATGGAGTCTAAGAAGATAAGCTCCACCTTCACCAACAAAAATGACAATAAAAACAATGCTACAGTGATTGTAGCTGGAGATATAATCAAGGCACTGTTGAAACAACTTAACAACCGGGAACCTGTGAATCAGAGCAGAAGCTGCTGGAGCCAGACGGCACCAACAGGGGCAGGCATTTACCTCGTAGTTGCTGGATTGTGGGCAGTTGGAGAAAGGTGTGCAGTGGGGCTGGGTCAACAGGGATAATTCTGCACATTCAGGAGGTTTAGGGCAGTAGCTGTATATCTATAAGTATGGAAGTATTTTAGTACTTTAACCACTACTAGTGGTTAACTGCAGCCAGTACTGTTGCCAACGATGAAGACCAACCTTGGTTATAGTATCTTACGTTTATACAGTTAGAATTTACATACAAATTCAATCCTAAAGAACAAAGTGAAGTTAAAGCCATGCTCTTGCAAATCACTGCTTGAAATCCTACCATTATTAATCAATTACTTTGGGTTAAGCATATACCATCCTTTTAAAAATGAAAATCCAGTTATCAAGTAGTAACATCAAAGCTATTGCCAGCAATTGCCACTGATGTGAGTCTCTCTCAAGTGTTAAGAACAGGACACCCAGAGAAAGGCAATTTTGAAAGAGTAGGTGACGACGGGCAATACAATTAATTGGGCCCTTTATGTATGAGCTGACTGCACATGAAGAGAAGACATAAAGAAGAAGACGGGAATGAGTACAAATAATGAGGGATAAGTCAGGAGAAATGCCATAGACAACAATTTTCTACTTGTTAATTTTTCCCAGGCTTCATTCTGCAAAGAAAACAAGAGAAAAGTTGGCTCTAATATTTCATCTCATTTTAGCAGCAGGGAAATGGCTAACCTTTCGTATGTCCTTTGTCCCAGAGCCAAACTCCATTTTCTCCTTCATGCTTCCTAATGTATTTTGTTCTATTACGGAGCCAAATACATTCATTGTAATTAAACATGGACTTTGAGAGCTAGAAGTGTTTTAAGAGTTCAAAGATAAAACCATCTTTTGATGGTCTGTGCCAAATAAGCACAAACCCTGATTTCTGAAAATCCATGATTTCTCAACCTTAACAATACTGACATTTGGAGCTGGGTTTTTGTTGTTGTGGGGGGGGCTGTCCTGTGCATTGTAGTATGTTTAAAGCATTCTTGGTCTCTACCCACCAGATGTCTGTAGAATTCCTCCTGTCCCAACAATCAAAAATGTTTTCAGGCATTGCTAAATATCCCCTGGGAGGCAAAATTGCCCCTGGTTGAGAATGCTGTACGAATATAAGAAAAATATTTGATTTTGGAAGGCATAGCATTGTTATTTCTTGCTGATTTTCATTCTTAATTGTGTTTAACATATGCTAATATTAACACTGATTTTTATTTGCTGACCACAAATTATTGGCAAGCAAGGAAGTTGGACAATAGATACAAAAATATCAGCCAGAAACCAATCTGGAGTTGAAAACGTCTCACATTAAACTGTAATTTATAATCAAACTATAGCAGCATCATCATCATTCATTCATTTATTTTCATTCAATGACTGTTTATTTACTAGGAACCCTCCTACGTACTGGAGATTCCATGGTAAAACAAACAAACAAACAAACAAAACAAAACAGTTGACTCATCTCCTCTGGGAAGCCTTCTTCACCTCCAAGGCTGGGTTGGGCTTCCTCACTGGAACTCCTTAAAAATTATCTCCTTATCTCATCATGGCCTTTAAGCTTCATTGTGATTGTTTGCATCTTGAAGTTATAGCACGTGCTTTGTTCATCATCATATACCCGGTGAGTAGCATCACATACTGGCTGCTCAATGTATAGTTATTGAATAAGTAAATGAATGACTAATCCACTTGAAAAATGCTTCCTGTCATGGATTCTAAAATTTATGATGCATTCTGGCTGAAGCAGGTGTTTATTCAAATACCAAGGTATCCCTTTATTGTTTCTCGGCATCTGTTTTCCTAATCTTCTTTTTTTTACATTTTTTAAAAAAATTATATTTTACTTTAAGTTCCAGGATACATGTGTAGAACGTGCAGGTCTGTTACATAGGACAATGTGTGGCATGGTGGTTTGCCACACCTATCAACCCTAACCTTCTTGGTTCATGGATTTTTCAACTAGAAGTTTGCTAGCTACTAATCTTGTCTTGCATTGTAAGATTGATTTTGAGAGCCACTTCTTCACCAATAATTACTCTGTCTTCCTTCCCCCATGCATCCACGTGTCACTACTGCACCCACCTGCGCCTCTTCCTGACTGTGCTATTACTTTAATTCTTTAGTAAATCTAGTAATATTTCTTTAGCACCTATTAATCAGCTTGGCATTGTAGTTAGCACTCTGCATATAAAGATGAACAGGGAAGCTCTTGCCCTTGGAAAGTGCATAGTGTGCTTCTTCAACTTTACAGACACTTTCTAGGCCATTTGTACATAAGGTAAGTGTCAAAAGAGATGGGTCATATTTTTGAGATGGGTTCTTAAACAAGTGTTCCACTTATCTATGCTTTGATCCCATTTCTGCCCCTTTTGAACATCATTTCAGCTCTCAGATGTTTCATCTGTCTTGTCCTTTCTGGTTGGCAATACCTTTTTCGAGCATTTATGGACTACTTCATTCTTCAATTGCTTATGTTTTCTGCTTTGGTAAAGCACTTCCTGAAACTGCTATGCCATTGATGTTGTTCACTCAGCTTGTTGCTGGAGCCCCAAAACCCTTGAAAAGCCCTCATTAGGTATGATTTAGCAGCTAGAAAATCAATACTTCCCTGTCTGTCTTTCAAGAATGGGGTCAAATGCACAACTTTATCTTTCCAGAGAGAAAGAATGAATTCCTTAGTCTTCTCAGCATCCTTTTCTCATAGGGGGAATAAATTATCCTATCTGCTGAAAGTCTGCTAAAATCTCAATGCAGCAATATTTCCAGAGGCATTTACGTTACAGAAATATATAATTACTGGCCAGGCGCTGTGGCTCATGCCTGTAATCCCAGCACTTTGGGAGGGCAAAGCAGGTGGATGATGAGGTCAGGAGTTCCAGACCAGCCTGGTCAACACGGTGAAACCCCCATCTCTACTAAAAATACAAAAATTAGCCAGGTGTGGTGGCGTGCACCTGTAATCCCAGTTACTTGGGTGGCTGAGGCAGGAGAATTGCTTGAACCTGGGAGGCAGAGGTTGAAGTGAGCCAAGATTGCACCACTTTACTCCAGCCTGGGCCACAAGAGCGGGACTCCATATCAAAATAAATAAATAAATAAATAAATAAATAAATAAATAAATAAAAATATAATTACAAAGCCACAATTCAAAGAATATGTCCCTCTTAAAAATGGGAAAGAATATAAATAGATAATTTACAGAAGAAAAATTTATATTATCAATATGGATATTTTAAAAGTTCAGCATCAACAATAAGAATATATAAATTTAAATGAAAATGCAATGTTTCATGATTTTCAAGTTATCATCAGTTATTAAGATGAAATTTTTAAGGATTGGTGAGGGTTTGAGGAAATAGACACTGTCATTCCCTGCTGAGAAGATAAAGTAACATAACTTTATCGAAAAGTAATTCGAGGATGTTATTAAAAGAGCATGTATTCTGTGGCTTAGCAATTTCACTTTTGGGAGTTTATCATAAGGGAATAATTAGAGAGGTGAGTAAAACTGTATGCTCACCTCTCTAATTGTGTACTCTGTTTTACCAATGAAGAAACAGAGTTATACAGAAGTTAAGTAATGGTTATATATAAGGTGAGCAGGCTTTCAAGGTGACTCTCAATGATCCACACCTCCTAGTATTTATTCTCTTTTGTAATCCACTGCCCTTGAGAGTGAGCTAGACTTAGTGACTCACTTCTAATAAATAAGAATCAGCAAAAGTGGTGGAATCTCACTTCTGTGATTAGCTTACAAAAAGCTGTGACTTCCTTCCATCTTGCTTGTAAATTCTCTTGAGGGCTTTGATGAAGCAAGTTGGCATCTTGAAGAGTTCTCTGTGACAAGGAATTAAGGATAAGTTCTGGTCAACAGCTCATGAGGAGTTGAGATCCTCACTCCAACAGCCTGCAAGGAACTGAACCCTGTCAACAACCACTGAGTGAGCTTGGAAAGGATCCTGCCCCAGTTGAAATTTGATTCCAGCCTTGTGAGAGATCCTGAAACAGAGGACTCATTATGGCCATGCCCAGGTTCCTAATCTCTAGAAACTTTAGATTATAATTGCTATTGTTTTATGCAAGTAAATCATAGGATAATTTGTTATGCTGCAATAGATAGCTAAAACATATATATTTATAAAATAATTAAAGTATTTCTTCTGACAATAAAAGAATGACATTTTTCAACTTTGTTTTATTCCATATCTTGAAGTTTTTCCATAAATAGCACACTCTATTTATACAATCAGAAAAATGACATTAAAAGACAAAAGAAAGTGTAGATAAATCAACAAAAATCTATTTCTTTTAGTGGATTAATTTTAGAATTTCCGTGCCCTCTCGACTAACATGTTGAAGCCCATGAAGGTAAAATTGCTTTAGCCTGACAGCTCCAGGAAGACTCAATCCTGTGACCTAGGAAACTTCCAACTCTAGTCGTTCCTTAAGTAATGAACTTATTGATAGAAATAGAAACAGGGAAATTAGCAAATAATCCTTACTGCTTCCCTACTCCTCTCCCTCATCCTTTCCCCCCTTCTCATTATTTTTCTTCTCCTCCTTTACTTCTTCTTCCTCTTCCTCCTTCTCTTGATTCTTTTAGGATTTCCTTTTGTTTGTAGAGTCTCCTTCTTACTTCACTCTGAGATTTAGTGTCCTTCTGATTCTTTCCATTTCTCCTAATATTAGTCCAACACTACTACTATTACTGCTACTCACAGTTCTTACTCTACCATTATTCCTCACACCAGTTTATTACAGAGCACTACTAAACTACCAAGAGGCGGTATGAGTTAGAGGTCTGGAGAGCTCTGCTTCAGTGTGAAACTTGCTCTATCACTTAGTGTATATTCTGGAAAAATAATTAAAGCTCTCTATATCTTAGTTTCATAATATAAAAATTGAGATAATAATAGTTTCTACCTCATAGTTTTTGTGAGTATTAAATGTGTTAATTCGCTTAGAATAGACATAAGAACTAAGTTATACGTTTCTAATTATGATAAGAATTGCTATCAGTTATTTCATTCTTCCTATGTTCCAGGTATTACATTAAGCACTTTACATAAGTTTTCTCATTTATTCTGCACAATAACTCTATGAGACAGATCTTACTATCCCAGTGATGGTTAAGCAAACAGGTCAATAAAAGTTAAGTAACTTGTCTACCAACAGAATAATGGGAGAGTAAAGTCAGGATTCAAAACTGAATTTTTCCATGTTTCTTCAAATGTGGGACATATACCACTGGTGAAAAGATTTCAGAAAGTACACAGACTCATCCTCTGTTCCTTGTGTTATATCAAGATTCTATTAAACTTAGAAATAACCAGAATGAATATTCTATTCATTTTTGTTATGAATATTCTATTCATTCTTGTTATGAATATTCTATTTATTCTTATGCTTTCATTGAAATATTGAGTTCATAGACATAAAAAAAACTCTTAATGAATAACAGTTAAAAATTTTATCACCTGGTGAAAGAAGCCTTCTACCAAAGCTTACCACGTGAGTCTATTTCTATGAAGTTCTAGAAAAGGCAAAACTAATCAATGGTGACATATAGTCTGAACAGTGGTTACATTTGAGGGATGGTTGTGGGGATAGGGATTCACTGAAAAGGTGCAGAAAGGAACATCCTGGGATGACGGAGTGTTTTATATCTTGATGAGGTTTGAGTTACAAAGGTATGTATTTTTATAAAAAGTCAATGAGTGACACAATTAAGACTTGTGCATTTATTGTATATAAATTTTACATAAATGAAAAAAGAACTAAACAAATATTGAACTCTAGTAAATGACATGCACACGGATGTGTATGGGGTGAAAGTTAAAATGGATAAAAAATAAGATGGTTGATCAATAGATAGAGGATGAATAGATGAATAGCTATGTGATAAAAAAGTGTAGTCAATGTTGATTGTAAAATCTAAATGGTAGATACAATTCTTTCAGCTTTTTTGGTTATGTTTTAAATTATTTATAATAACATGTAGGAAAAATTAAGCTCTTAAATGACAGAAATTTGCTGATTATTTATTAGCAAGCAAACAAATCATGTTAATTAGATATTTATGTCTAATATTAATATTCAATTAGTACCTAATATCCAATTTGATATGCCATACTTTTAAATCTGTGTTTGATTTCCCAGGTACCCATATATCAGATAAAATTGAATTAAAAATTTGGAGAGGAGAATACTATCCTTAGGTAAAGCACTATAGAGATCTGAAATCTTCTAAGTTCATATTTCCTGCAAGTTCATAAAATTGACCACTGCTCATTCATATAGTTCTTTTTGCTGTATTTTTGATGGCCATAGAACAAGTGCATTTTTACTTACTAAATCTGCTCTACTTGGAAAGCAATACTGCTTTTAAAAGCAACAATCTTATTTCTAATGAATTTTAAAATAAACCATATTTTTAGCATTCATCAAAATGGACACACCAATATACCTTGACACCTCTAGGACTTGACAAACAAGAATATTTGTTTATATTCAATTTATTTCATGCATAGAGTAAAAAGTATTTCCCTGCAATAACTTTAAAATCAAACACACTTTTTTAAGCATGGAAGAGAAATGATTCTATTTTTATGTATAAGAAAACTAAAACCTGAAGGAAGAAGATTTCCCAGAGTTCTTATATAACAAGGGTAAATTCATGCACTTTAGGCCACAAAACCCACATTTTTATATTCATTTGTTTATATGCTACAATTTTTATTTAGTCATGGAAAAATCTACTCCACGTTGTACTTGGATAGTTTCACTCATTGCTTCTTCATACCTTTCTTCTTTCTCTGTGTTGTTAATCTAAAGTTTTTCCGTTCTTATCGTTTGGTTCTCTGTAGCTGTCTTCTTATGTAAAACCTTGAAAATTCCCTCTATCCTTCCATAGATTTTCAAAGAAATGGATTTTGATTATATAAGTGATGTTTTCAAATCACGTTTTATATACATTTGTCTAATATCAATGATAGTTATTGAATTCTGTTGATAACTTCAATGTTATCACATCCTTTTCTTTAAATAAGTTCCTCAAAATAAATGATTAAACTTTGCATGAAATTTTATTTATAATGATAAAGTTTCAAAGTAATTATTTTAAATGAAAATAATTAAAAGTTATGAAAAATTAAAAGAATATAACTTTTTTTAACTTCATGTTTCAACACTAAGCACTACCTATATATTCCCTACTGTGAAAGACAAGTGATACACTGTTTTTTCTCCTCCCCAAATTTGTCAAATAAATATATATATATTTAACATTTTAATATTTATAATAGTTGCATTCTGTTTTATATCTGTAATTCTCAGAATTGAAGACTTTGTTTCTGTATGTAAGTAGCTTTATCATGTTTACTCCATTGGAGTTTTTATTTTGATTCTTCTTTTTATGACTGCATCTTGCAAAGGAGTTTCTTTTTCAGGAAAGGGTCATGTGTGCTGTATTCCCGTAGTAGTTACTGCAAGCAGGAGATCACCTGTCTTTAGCCTTCATGCTTGAACAACAACTTGGGTAATGATGAATATTTTATGCCTATTCCATATTTCTATTTTTTCTTCAGAATCACATTTTATCACTATGTTGATGCCTTTGTCTCCATCTTAATCATCTCTTCTCTAATTGCTTTCCTATTTTTGTTCTTTTTGTTTCATTTTGTGCAATTTCCTCAAGTCTCTCCTGCATGTTTCTAAATATGTTTTCGCTCTTGTTTATTTTGTATTTTGTTGCTTCCAAAGCAGCTCACTTCTCTAATAAAGCCTTTATTTTTTCTTTCTATTTTTTTTCTGAGTTCTGCCAGCTTGTTTTTCCTCTCTTTTTGCTGTCTCTTCAGTTTTTCTGTTTGCTTTGTGGTCATTTTTCACATTTTTGTAACCCCTAGAGGCGTCATGGTGTTTGTATTTTTATGGAACATGCATTGAGATTTTTTCTATTTTTAGGGAAAATTGAAAAATCTGATCTTTTGGTAGAATTTTATCAGCTGTATTTTGCTTATGTTCTTTTCTTAATTTTGTGTGCTAGTGCCTCTCTTTACTAAATAGAGGCAATGTTATCTGGGGTAGCTGTTTGCTGAACCCTCAGGAGCTGGTTGCAGAAGTGAGGTGGGCTTGCCCTCAAGCAGTCTTAAAATCTCCCTCACTAAATCTGCTTGTTACTCTATTCTGTGCATCTTCTCTTGGCTTTTGACATTCAGGAGGACACAAATGGTTTGTGGAGACCCTTCTTAAGTGGCAGTTCCCTAGATTAGGAGATACTCCATACCGCTGCATTTCCAGTTGTCATCCAGGCTCATTTTTGTGAGGAAAGATTACTCCTGTTTTGCTCAACTTTTCCTAACGTTTTATGGTAGTAGATAAGGCTCTCTTGGGACATTCCTCTGACTCTCCCAAGACTTGCCACGACTTCTGCATCTCATCCCTCTGTTAAAAAGATGGTGTGCACACTTCTCAGAATTGTGACATTTAACTGTCAAAATATCTCCAGCCTGACATAAATCTAAGGAGATGGATATATGTTGATTTCTTTCATCTCTCATCTTAGTCCAGTACAGTAGGTATTCACAATTTATAGTTTGGGGTTGTGACTCTTTCTCTGCTTGCTTTCTGTACTTTGTAAAGGAGGGGAGCTATTAAAAATATCCATAGCAGCATGTTTAATTAGAAGCATTGTTTACCTGTTAGGCTGATATCAAGTCCCATCTCCCTTTGGATTTTCTCCAACAAATCTATCACAATCTGCTCTTTTTCTCTGGGCCCTTCACGGTGCTTAATATTTTATCTCTGTGCCTGTCATGTCCTAAACAGTCCTTATTTGTTCATATGTGTAAAAATGAAAACTTAACCTCAACAAATGAAGGTGTCACACTAGTCTGTTTTATCTCTCTCTTTTTTTTTTTTTTTTTTGTTTTTTGAGATGGAGTCTCGCTCAGTCGCCCAGGCTGGAGTGCAGTGGCGCGATCTCAGCTCACTGCAGGCTCCGCCTCCCGGGTTCACGCCATTCTCCTGCCTCAGCCTCCCGAGTAGCTGGGACTACAGGCGCCCGCCACCAGGCCGGCTAATTTTTTGTATTTTCAGTAGAGACGGGGTTTCACCGTGTTAGCCAGGATGGTCTCCATCTCCTGACCTCGTGATCCGCCCGTCTCGGCCTCCCAAAGTGCTGGGATTAAAGGCATGAGCCACCGCACCCAGCCGTCTGTTTTATCTCTTTAGCCCCTCTACCTAGCACAACACCTAGCAGATAATAGGTGCTCAATAAGAATTTTGAATGAAGTAATGAATTAACTTATGAATATAGTACAAGATGACTTCCAAACAAGATTATTTTGGAGGGCATCCAGTGTATACCAAGATAAATAACGTTGAAATTTTTTAAAAGGCTATGAAATCATATATATTATGTACATGACAAAGCAGAAAGTAAATAAGCCCTAAATACCTTCAGAAATTAATTGAATTAAAGAGATAATGGAGATACTGTTGGAGGATTACTTATGTTGATTACATATTTCTGCAAGTTAGGGTAAAATTAAAAATAGACATCAAAAAGTCAAATAAATGTCAAGCTGAAGGGAAGAAAACTATGTTGGAGATAAAATGGAGGAAAGAAAGAAAATTGTTTGGGTACTAAAGTATATGAGGGATTTTTGTTGCTTTTTTTTGTTCCTGCAGTAGAAAAATGAATTTCACCATATTAAAAAGTATGATCTAAAAAGTTTTAATGGTGCCTTGTAATGCCAATGTTGAATTTATGCAGGGTTCAAACTATGTTTTTGAATTTCACAAGACAAACGTTTAGTTCTCAGTGGTTTAAATGTTTCACTTTCTTACTGTTCAGACAAACATTCTGAGAACATTTTAAAGGCATGACATTAAAACAGTTTTGAAAAAAAGATTGTTTTTTCTATTTAGGAAGGTACATTTGGTATTTCAAGATTTGAAGGGCAAATAACTAAGATTTCCAAGTTTAGTTTTTTATAGTGCAACCATATGACAAAACTCAGTCTTTGTGTGTAAAAGGATAAAATGATGGTAAATGCCTAACCTAAAGTTACCTTAACATACTTGGGGAGAATAAAGAAGATAGTAAATTACCGATGACCTTAGCAAAATATGCGAACAGTTGAAACACTTATGAAGTTCAAATTCTAAAAACCTCTAAATATTATGATAGTCTAGGCTAATCTGTCAGTCCAGTGTTAGAACCCAGTAAAACAGGATAATTCTAGATTGTTGCATTTGCAAAGTACTATGAATCATAAATATCAAACATTTGTCAGTAAACCAAATGGTATTTAACCCAATCTTATGTAAATTCATGACAATATTACATATGTAATATTTAAACAAAAATAATAACATATTTCATTCCCATTGTAATACAGTATATTTAAATAAACTGTATTAGAAATAATATGCTGTAAATGCTTTGTGACAAACATCATCAATAAGTGTTTTATTAGAAATATATTTGCATTAGTAATGCTTCTATATAAATAAGTATATTTATAAATTGGCAATTATTGATTTCATAATCATTTAAACTAAAAACAATTCAAGGATTCTCTATTTTGCTAGACATTAAACCAAATCTAATGTATTAGTATGTTCTCACACTGCTATAAAGATACTACCTGAAACTGGGTAATTTATAAAGGAAAGAGGTTTAATTGACTCACAGTTCCTCATGGCTGGGTGGGACTTAGGAAACTTACAATCATGGCAGAAGGGGAAGCAGGCACATCTTGCATGGTGACAGGAGAGAGGAGAGCAAGCATGTGCATGGAATACTGCCTTATAAAACCATCAGATCTCATGAGAACTCAATCAATGTCACCAGAACGTCATGGGGGAAACCACCCCCATGATTCATTTACCTCCCATCAGGTCCCTCCCTAGACATATGGGGATTAAAATTCAGATTACAATTGTCAATGAGATTTGGGTGATGACACAGCCAAACCATATCATCTTAATACAATGATTTATTGGTGATTGCATTAAAAATGATTCTTTTAAATAAGAAAGCCTCTATTTCATATAAAGGTTCAGTGCAGATAAATAAATACTTGGAGAATATCTAAATATACCCATGGGCACAGTTTCAGAAGATAATGCCCCAGAAAGAAAAATAAATATTAATATTATAAAACTATAAATATGGTTTAATTAATTTAATGTTCAGGTAATTTGTCATAATTGCACTTATGATCTAAAATAAAATAAATTTGAATGTAATATAACTTGGCTAGGAGAAATCCAAAGGTACAAAAAGCAATTAGGTAGTTTATAAGTCAAGATTTTATGTAAATCTTGAAGACAAACTTTTATTTCTTCTATTTATTAAGATTTTTCTGTGTGACTTTATAATGAGTATAAAGTTAGCTCAGTTCTCTGCAGTGAAATGCATTGGGAATTCCAAATATGGGAATTTCAAATATAATTATGACCATTCCAACAAATTTTCATTTACTTATGAGAACTGATTTTTATGCATCAAACTTAATATATCTTTTCATATGATTCCTTGGAATTATTCTAAGAAGCTAACTTCTTACTGACTCCTGCTTTCTCTATGTATAGCTTCCATTCTTACTACTCTTTTAAGCTGACATAGTTGAATAAAAATCATCATGCTGATAGAATTGATTCTCTATGCCTTAAATAAATATTGAAAAAAAAGGCCACACAGCACAAAATGAAGAATATGCTAAAACTGATAAGTGGTACAAGGACAAATTTTAGGACACAGATGCAATTTTATGAAGTAGCTAGCTAGGATAATCTAATATTTTCAGATGGTAATAAAATTATTTGCAGTAGCAAAGCATATACATAGACAGCAAGAAAGTGTATGAAAGTCATTTATATAGACTTAAAATATTTTTAACATTGCTAGTTGGAAATATGTAAAAAAGTAGAACAATTTATGATATAACTATTCCTATTTAATTTTCCTGTTTTAGAAAAAAACTCCTTCATTTAGTGGATGATGAAAGAACTAGTTTTAATTAAATAAAATTCATGCCGATTCAATTGCTATTTGTATTATATATCCATATTCAGATAATTTTTTATTGCCATGCCCTATTTTTCACTGTTCATTTAAGGAAAGAAAGGTTGTCATTTCAGCATAAAGATTTTCATTTAAATGCATTCCTTTTTTTTTTCAATATCCATGGAATGTGCATTTTGAGGAAAGCTTGTGGTGGTATGATCTTATATTGAAGTAAATTTTTCTTTTTAAAATTTTGTTTGCTCTTTTTGACTTGTTTGGTTTTTCAACATCTAAATTATTTTTGAATAGAGACCAAAGCAGATCTGCTTCATGAAAAATTTCAGCCTATATTGAACTGAGTAATTGTCTATGTAAGCATATATATTAATAGTATTGATATAATATATTAATACAATATCATTACGTATGAAATTTATCCCTTTTATGATATAAGAAGTATGTCTGAGGTTTTAGAAAATCTGTAGACAGTATGACCCCTGTTTGTAGAACTTTTGTCTAAATGAATAGCTATTTATAAACATATGGAGGGATAATGTGCTTAGTAGAAGAACTTAGATGGAGCTCTTGTGTTTGTATTCTAGCTTTATTGCATGCTATCTGATATGACCTTCAGCCAATTATTAAAATTATCTATGTATCATTGTCCTTATTTATGACAATCATTCTTATATTTTGGATTATTGGGAGAATTAAGTCATTTAACACCTGGTAAGTGTTCATCACTGGGACATTATAAATGCTCAATATATTTTAGTTATTATTACATCTTCATTGTTAGTTACTCTGGCTCCTTAACCACAAGATCTTGGATAGGTGGTATACTTACAAAAATTAAATTTGAATGCTTTTAAGTAGCATATATATTCTCCAGCGTACAAATCCCAACATTCCCTATTGTCAGGACAATATGTTGGTAGCCTGCCTCCTGAGGTATTAGTTAAGAATCTTTTGATATGGAGATATATGTGACTGCTTCTACCTGTCTTCAACTGCTTTATAAGAGATTCTTTATATCTTACTGTCATCAAGTCATTGAATCTATTCTGCCTAGTGGAGCTGTATTACATTTTCTATCTATTTGGTCTAATCAAGCTCCTCCCCAGAGTACTTCAAATAATATTTTTGAACAGTAAATTGTAAGAATCACCATGAATATCATTTCTTTCTTCTCCCATAATGTGCATACATCAAGTTGTAGAATAAGGTTACCAGTGATATAGTCTGCTTTGTATCCACTCAACATTCCAATCATGGGTATGCCACTGCCAGGGGAAATACCTGCTTGATATCACACGCAACAGTGGTGTGTTGCAGCGTCATACTCTGGATAAAGTCAATTTGCTGCATCTTGTATTTTGAAACTTCTCATGGTGGCAAAACCTTTTTTTTGAGAAGGAGATACCAGGGTATTAAAAAATGTAATAATTGATCTACAGTAAAAGCAAGTTTGAAAAAGTTTGCATTTGAATATTATCTATTGGATTAAAATGGAAGATAATGAACAAATTGTCACCTAGGAAATTACATGAAGAGAAAAATTGGGTTAGAGGCAGTAAATATTAACATTAAGAACATACACATGCATATTTGAAAAAGACTCAAATGGTGAAGGCTTAAAAACACACACTGGGAACTGTTGTGGGTGGGGGGAGGGGGGAAGGGGGAGGGATAACATTAGGAGATATACCCAATGCTAAATGATGAGTTAATGGGTGCAGCACACCAACATGGCACATGTATACATATGTAACAAACCTGCATGTTGTGCACAAGTACCCTAAACTTAAAGTATAATAAAAAAAAAGATTAAAAAAAAAAAAACAAGACTAAGTATCCAGCCATTTAAAGTGATGGTGCAGCTGCTTATGATTCTTAATATTCCAAGATTATGTCATTTTTGTTAATGCTTTAGTTAAAAAAAATGCTAAATGCTTGATAAAAAATAAACACATAGATACACTAAAGGGCCATTTCTGAATGTGCTAATTCCTTGAGGCTACTGGCCTGAAGGAATGAGAGGGTTCAGAAATTTAATTCCAAGGGTTGCTCAAGATGAGAAGTCTTATTGAGATACCTTCTCCAATTCAAACTTGGATTTCCAAAGCCATAGCTTTAGAACAATGTCACATGAAAACTAATCCCCATGTCTTACTCTCAGTCACATAACATTTTTTTTTTTTTTTGAGATGGAGTCTGGCTCTGTTGCCCAGGCTGGAGTACAGTGGCGTGATCTCAGCTTACTGCAGTCTCTGCCTCCAGGTTCAGGTGATTCTCCAGCCTCAGCCTCCCAAGTTGCTGGGACTATAGATGTGCATCACCGTACCCTGACTAATTTTTGTATTTTTAGTAGAGATGGGTTTTCACCATGTTGGCCAGGCTGGTCTCAAACTCCTGACTTCAGGTGATCTGCCCGCCTTGGCCTCCCAAGGTGTTGGGTTTACAGGTGTGAGCCACTGTGCCTGACCCCAGTCACATAACATTTTATAGAAGCTTGTCTCTGTGCTAAGCAGAGGAGGAAAAGAAATATTAAAAGAAAAAAATAAGACATTGTATTATAGATGGGTCTTTGTATACATTTACACATTGGACAGGGAACCTAAAGCTGTGACTAGATTTGAAATGTTTTCCAATTAGTAGTGCTGTCAAGTTCTAGGCTGATACAAACACATAGCCACTTTGGAAGAGACAACACCATTCTAGGAATCTGAAAACACCCATACAATTTTTTGCAAAAATAGTGACTATCACATACTTATAGATAACCAGACACACAAAGAAACAGGGTGATTGAGTCAAGAAACCTATACCAATGACAAACAGCAGTAGAGCCACAGAAACCTCAGGTAATGAACTAATTATAAAAACCTTAGAGACTGTGCTGATATGGTTTGGCTCTCTGTCCCCACCCAAATCTCATCTTCAATAGTACTCCCATAATTCCCATGTATTGTGGGAAGGACCCATGGGAGATCATATGAGTCATGGGGGCAGTTTCCCCATACTGTTCTTGTGGTAGTGAATAGGTCTCATGAAATCTGATGGTCTATCAGGGGGTTCTGCTTTTGCATCCTCCTCATTTGCTCTTGCTGCTGCCATGTGAAAAGTGCCTTTCATCTCCCACCATGATTGTGAGGCCTCCCCAGCCATGTGGAACTGTAAGGCCAATTAAACCTCTTTTTTTCCCAGTCTCAGTTATGTCTTTATCAGCAGTGTGAAAATGGACTAATTCAGTAAATTGGTACCAGTAGAGTGGGGCACTGCTGAAAAGATACCCGAAAATGTGGAAGCAACTTTGCAACTGGGTAACAGGCAGAGGTTGGAAAAGTTTGGAGGGTTCAAAAGAAGATAGGGAAATGTGGGAAAGTTTGGAACTTCCTAGAGACTTGTTGAATGGTTTTTCCCAAAAGCCTGATAGCGATATGGACGATAAGGTTCAGTCTGAGGTGGTCTCAGATGGAGATGAAGAACTTGTTGGGAGCTGGAGCAAAGGTGACTCTTGTTATGTTTTAGCAAACAGACTGGCAGTATTTTGCCCCTGCACTAGAGATTTGTGGAACTTTGAGCTTGAGAAAGATGATTTAGAGTATCAGAAGAAATTTCTAAGCAGCAAAGCCTTCAAGAGGTGACTTGAGTGTTGTTAAAGGCATTCAGTTTTATAAGGGAAGCAGAGCATAAAAGTTCAGAAAGTTTGCAGCCTGACAATGGGATAGAAAAGAAAAACCCATTTACTGAAGAGGAATTCAAGCCAGCTCTAGAAATTTGCATAAGTTAATCACAAAGACAATGGGGAAAACATCTCCAGGGCATGTCAGAGGTCTTCAACGTAGCCTTTCCTGTCATAGGCCCAGAGGCTTAGAAGGAAATAGTGGTTTCGTGGATGGAGTCCAGGGTCCCTGTGCTGTGTGAAGTCTAGGTACTTGGTTCCCTGCATCTCAGCCACTCCAGCTGTGACTAAAAGGGGCCAAGGTACAGCTCAGGCTGTTGCTTCAGAAGGTGGAGGCCCCAAGCCTTGGCAGCTTCCACATGGTATTAAGCCTGCAGGTGCACAGAAGTCAAGAATTGAGGTTTGGGAGCCTCTGACTAGGTTTCGGAAGATGTATGGAAACACCTGGATGCCCAGGCAAAAGTTTGCTGCAGGGGCGAGGCCCTCATGGAGAGCCTCTGTTAGGGCAGTGCAGATTGGAAATGTGGGGTCGGAGACCCCACAGAGAGGCCCCACCGGGGCACCACCTAGTGGAGCTGTGCGAAGAAGGCCACTGTCTTCCAGACCCCAGAACCGTAGATCCACCAATAGCTTGCACCATGCACCTGGAAAAGCCACAGACATTCAATGACAGCCCACAAAAGCAACCAGGAGGGGGACTCTACCCTGCAAAGCCACAGGGGTGGAGCTGCCAAGACCATCGAACCCATCTCTTGAATCAGTGTGACCTCGATGTGGGACCTGGAGTCAAAGGAGATAATTTTGGAGCTTGAAAATTTGACTGCCCTGCTGGATTTCAGACCCCTTTGTTTTGCCCAATTTCTCCCCTTTGGAATGACTATATTTACCCAATACCTGTAGCCCCATTGTATCTAGAAAGTAACCAGCTTGCTTTTGATTTTTCAGGATCATAGGCGGAAGGGACTTGCCTTGTCTCAGATGAGACTTTGGACTATGGACTTTTGGGTGAATGCTGAAATGAGTTAAGACTTTGGGGGACTGTTGGAAAGGCATGACTGGTTTTGAAATGTGAGGATGTGAGATTTGGAGGGGCCGGGGCAGAATGATATGGTTTGGTTGTGTCCCCACCCAAATCTCATCTTGAGTTGTACTCCCATAATTCCCACATGTTGTGGGAGGGACCCGGTGGGAGACATTTTGAATCATGGGGGCAGTTTCCTCCTTACTGTTCTCATGGTACTGAATAAGTCTCATGAGATCTGATGGTTTTATCAGGGGTTTCTGCTTTTGCATCCTTCTCATTTTCTCTTGCCACCACCATATAAGAAGTACCTTTTCCCTCCCACCATGATTCTGAGGCTTCCCCAGCCATGTGGAACTGTAAGTCCAATTGAAACTCTTTTTCTTCCCAGTCTCAGGTATGTCTTTATCAGCAGTATGAAAATGGACTAATACGTGTGCTTACCTTAATAAAAATAAATAATAATCTTGAAAAAGTATCTTCAGATGACAGGAAACAGGTATAGACATAGGCAACTCCAAGAAGAACTAAAACTTGTAGAAATAAAAATCCATTAATGAATATTTTAAAATTTAATGAATATGTTTAGCTACATATTCATATTAGCTACATATTCTCTTTTATCTAGATGCTACAAAGAAGAAAATTAGCAAACTGTTCTATCAGATGGAAGAAATCTTTCACAATGTAGCACAGAGACAAGGGGAAAATACAAAAGGAAGTATAAAAGACATGAGAAATTGTAATATATGTTTGATTGGAGGACAAGAGGGAAGGGAAAGAATAATATAAAAATATCATTTGAATAGATAAAGCTGATAGCTTTTTAGATTTTGTAAAAACCATGAACCATGAAATCAAGAGGTTCAATGAATCCTCAGTGAGACAAATTCAAAGCAAAACAAATAGAATAAATCAATCAAAGGAAGTCATATCTAGATATATCACAGCGAAACTGCAGAAAACCAAAGACAAAGAAGAATCTTATAAGCAGTCAGAGAAAAAGACAATGCGATAAAGATGATAGAGAATAGTTATTTTCAATATAATAAAGGAATTTTGTACCCAGTAAAAACAGCTTTCAATATAAGGACCAAAAAGACATTCTGAGTAAAACAAACAAACAAAAAATGGAGAGAGGTTTGCACCAGCAGGACATTTCTAGAGAACTAAATAATGTTCTTTAGAAAGAAGACTGATCCCAGATGGAAGGTCAGAGATGTAAGAAGAAATAGCAATTGTTAAACAGCGGTAAATATGTGTATTAGTAAATGTAAAAGATTATGTATGAGCTGTATCGAAAAGAAATAACGAGGTCTAATGAAGTTTAAAAAAAAAACTAACAATAGACTTAAAGTGCTAGACAGCAATATCATGTAAGTCGGGAGGAAGTCTAAATGGAGCTTAAATGATCTAAGCTATTTATTATATATAAAAGGAAAAGGAAGGTTTTGATTAATTTTAGATTTCCTAAATATGAATACTGTAATTTGTATAACAATCACAAAATCAAAATCAAAACTTTTAACTTTCAAATTTGTAAAAGGGAAAAATGAGTGATGAATTATATTAATTCAATCCAAAAGATGGTTAATAAAAAAAGAACAATAATAACATATAGACATATGAGACAACTAGAAAGCAAAAATAAGACAATAGATCTAAATTCAATCATATCCAAAATTATTTTGAAGGAACTAAAGGGACTAAATTTCTCCACTAAGAGATAAAAAATCATTAGCCTGGAAGAATCTCCACATTCAACTATACACAATTTACCAGACACATATGGAAAATGTAAGAAAACAGGTTAGTACAAAAACAATGGAGAAACGACAAATATGAACAAAATATTCTGATGAAGCTATAGTAATATTAGAAAATAGACTTTAAAACAGAAAACTATTTCTAGAGATAGAACACCACTTTATGCTGATAAAATATTTAATTCACCAAGATGATATAATTGTGTATATATATACACACACACACGTGAACATATATATATACACACACACATACATATGCACGCACGTAATAACATATGTGGTGAAACTATGAAGAAAAGCTAAAAACTGATTACCAGAAGACTTCCTTCCAATTTACATGTTATCACAAAAGATGAGGGAGGGAGTTGTAATTAAGAAAACGTGCTCAGGAGGTTTCTGGAATGCTGGTATTGTTCTATTTCTTCCTTTGAGCAGTCTTCATATGTGTCAACATATAGCTATTAGTAAAAATAGTACACATGCAGGTTTTATACAGTTTCTGCACTTATGGAAATTCTTGATTATTATTAAATTAAAAAGCAGAATGCATAATAACATATATACAGTCATCTCACTTTCATTTGATATCTCTGTATATATATATTTAAGTATAGATGTAATAAAATTATGTACACACTTTTTATTACTAATAGTATCTGGATGGTGGTTTGATACTTTCTTTTTCTTTGAATGTTTTCCTATAATAAATATGCTACGTTACTTTTGTAATGAAAACATGAATTAAACACAGACACGCCCAATTACTACCCAGAATAGAGTGAAGAGAGATTGGTAGAAAGATGTATGTCAACCTTGAAAATGAAAAATGAATAGCATTGTATGAGATACAGATACTCAATGAGAAGGGAATACTTGGAAAGCAGCAGTGCTGAAAAGGACTTCAGGGTGAGTGTGGACAGCAAATTAGATAGAAGCCTGCAGTATAATGTGCCAGGAATGAATGCCAATGCTATTTTCAGCTGCAAAAGCATGGGCACCATGGCACGAAACAAGGACAGGCAGCCTCTTTTATATATATTTGGAAAGTCTGACTGTAAGGCAACAATTATACGTCAAACTACTTTTAGCTTAAACTAAGTAAATGAAAAAAATAGCCACCATGACCTAAAAATGATTATGGAAGTCACCAATGCAATAATTTTTCTATTCTTGCTTTGTAGAGAGCATAACCTCTTTTAATGCCAGCCTCCGATTTTACCAATGATGATGGTAAAAACATGTATGTTAGAAGAATTTTCTTCAGGCTCTTTCTCAAAGTCGACATATCCCAATAGCTAAGATAGATATAAAAATTAGTCTACACAGGGAGCTCTGCCCTCAAGACTTCCACTTGGAGAAAGCAGACTCTAGGAATTATAAAAGTAGGTAAAATGAACCTTGACAGTTGCCTGGCCTCTGAAAGGAGATGCAATGCACAATATATTAAGGACTTTGTGAACTTGAGATGTCAAAGCAGCAGGCAGAATATGGCAGCAGATATCCAGGTGTCAGTTGATATTCAAAGTCAGGTGGACAATGCAGACTGCTCCTAAGTCTGCTGATGGCCAGCAGCTGGGTTGGTAGAGAGTAGAATCCATTTCCTTTGAACATGTTTGTTTGGCAAGAATTAGGCAATGAATTAAAACAAGTGGATGGACCTTAGGGCAGGACTTCAGATCCAGCAGGACATGGGGGTACTGTTTCATATCTAGTAAGAAATTGAGAGGCTTAGAAGGATATAGAAATCCCTCAGATGGTAGAAATAAAAAGATCTTAATTAAAGGACTACTTATAGAGATATGGGCAGAGCCAATGGAAAAACAAAACAGAACAACAAAAAGTACATTGAGGTACTCAGACTATTGAGAGCAGGAAGCTGTTATCACTTTTAAAGTATAAGAGACAAAATAGTATTACCAGTGCCTGACGATGGCTGTAGATATGGAGCAGAGGCTGCCTCCCAGAGACTGAAGTTGTTGCTAGATCAGGGAAGGCGGGAGCAGGTAAGAAAGACTTTGACCTGTTTTTCCTTCTACCCTACTATCTTCTGGTGGTGACTTTTATTGGCCAAACCCAACCAAAAGCCAGAGGACAAGGGATACTGGGTGATGCAGTCCATAGGAATCTGCTGTCCAGAGCAAAGATGAGAAAAGAGAAAGGTGGGAAGAAAATATGGTGGCAATGGAGAGGGAAAACAGAGTGACCAGCATGAACCCCATGCAAGGCACCCAAGGTAAAAGCCAATTATGCATAGTGGGTCAATATGACAGAGCATATTTCATTCAGTCAGTCCAAAAATAATTTAAAATTCCTCCTATATTGTCCTAGGCCCTCTACTAGTTGCCTGGGACACAAAAACAGCAAGTCTTGACCTTTTAATGAAGGCTTTGCAGTCTAGCATGGGAAGTGATGATAGGCATGTAAACAAGGGTACAGAGAAGGCAAAAGAGAAAACCAATCAGTGATTCTTAAATTTGGAGGTCAGTAAAAAATGACATAGAACAAAGAATATTTGAATCTGGTAGATCACAAGTAAGAGGTGGAAGGTAATTTCTGGAAAAAGCAACATCACAAGATATGAAACAGCCTTGTGTATTTGGATAGATATCAGCTAGGTTTTGCTTAGAATTAGAAGCTATTCAGACACTAAACCCATGGGTTTCCTTGGAGGGACTTCTCTGCCTTGGCTGAAATGCTACGGAAACACAGCAGTGCTGAGCTGAGTACATATAGATGGCATGTTGGTAATGGCATTTGGATAGGGTGAGGGAATACAGGAACACACTTGCTTCTGCTTTAGGATTTTCATTTTTCAGGAAAAGGTTAAGAAGAATTAGAATGGACAAAGGGATAAATAGACTGAAATAAATAACACAACCAAAAAGAAAAATGTTCTAGGAAGTTTACAGGAGGGAACAGTAGGGAAGAACCTCAAACAGTTAGAAATCATAAAAAGATGGTCACTCTCTGAGGATTAAACTCATTTGGTCTAGATAGATAGCGTTTGTTTCATTTGACCTGTTTATTGACATATATAAGTAAAATATTTATAATAAATAAAGAAAGGAGAAAGAATGTGTGGTAGTCCCATCAGAAACACTATTTACTTAGTTCATTTACTTACATAGTCAGTGATATTGATTCATCTTGGCAAAAGTTTACCAACAAAAGGAGGTGGCCAACATGGAATGATCGGGGCTAGCAAGGTGAGCATCTGTTTTACATACACAGAAGTTTCCAGGGAGCAATGGGACAGCATCTGGGAGGCATTGGGGCAGCATTCTTTGAAAGGAACAAAGAAATTCATCAGGTAGCACTGCTTTAATTTATGCTCATCACAAAGTCTTCTGAATAATAACTGGTCTTTTTACATATCTTGAGAAAATGAAGCCTAGTTAGAAGATACATGTAAGCCCCTTTTTTGGAGAGGTTACCAGACAGAGATTCTCACTCACTTATTTATCTCTTGTCAACATGCTTAATGGGATTCCTTCGTTGAGAGTTTGGTTTGCCACTGTACCTTTATAAAACAATTTCTTGACCCATAAGACAGAAGTTCTTCCCCTGGAATACAACAAAATTACAGATAATTCTGTCATTGAATATCTTGGCATCTTACTTAGTTTTTCCTGGCAACCATAAACCATCATTGCCTCCAGCCTTTGAGATTGGGTTAACTTGTCTACAGGAGAGAAAGTTAAGGTGTTAAGTAAAAATCATACCTCCAGGAACACTTCAATAAAATGACTCCAGGAAGTACATGGATAAAATATTTGATGGACGTGCAGCCACCCATGCTATGAAACACATTTAGTTCATGTCTAGTATAATTTCTACCTTCCATTATATTATGAAGGAGGCACTGTCGAATGGTAGAGGAATGGCAGTTTTCAAACTTTTAACTTTTATTTTAGGTTTAACTTTCAACTTTTATTTTAAGGGTACATGTGCAGGTTTGTTATATAGGTAAATTCATGTCACAGGGGTTTGTTGTAAGATTATTTCAAACTTTTATATATTTTTTTCGTTCATAGTAATTTTTTATTCAAACTAAATCTTTACGGAAACTTGTCATGTGAAATATTTAGAGCAAAGTGCATGGTCAGAATCAGGAGAGAGTGGCTGGGCGCGGTGGCTCATGCCTGTAATCCCAGCACTTTTGGGAGGCTGAGGCGAGCGGATCACTTGAGGTCAGGAGTTGGAGATCAGCCTGGCCAACATGGTGAAACCCCATCTCTACTATTAATAAAAATTCAAAAATTAGCCGGGTGTGGTGTTGCATGCCTGTAATCTTAGGTACTTGGGTGGCTGAGACAGGAGAATCACTTGAACCCGGGAGGCAGGGCTTGAAGTGAGCCAACATTGCAGCACTGCTCCCCAGCCTGGGCTACAGAGTAAGTGAGACTCCTGCTGGCTCAACTATTCTCAGGCCCCGCAGTACCCTCTGCACCCCAGAAGCCCCGGGCTCAGTTGGAGAACAGCTAGCAGAGCCAAGGAGCCTGGGAGGCAAAGTCAAGAAATGCAGGTTGTAATCCTGACCACACAGTCTTGAGAATGGTCCTGATGACTACTTTCTTATTTAATAGAAACAGCTGCCCTACTTACCTCTTGGCAAATAAGGAATCCATATTCATAAAAAAATGGCCATTGAATACTTTTAAGTGCATGAAGCTCCACGCAAACATGAAAAGGTACAACTTTTAAACTAAACTTACACTTGAAACACCCAAATCCCTTCATCACCCAATCACTTTCAATGGCTTTGTTTAAAAGCCATTGATTTAAATTTTTTAAAAGAACACATAATTTTACACTCAGGGGTATAACACTTTTCTAAAAAAATAACCTTTATCTTTGCTGTGAGCTAGTAAAATCACAAGTCATTCATTCAAGAAATAATTATTGAACACACCACTTATTATTTGCCCCGCATTGTGGCAACACAGTAAAGTATATACCCTTGCCTCGACTCTTGATCATGGCAGGGTAAAGGAGGAGGAAGGTAATAGAATTATAGAGAATGAAGCCATCAATTTACTGCTAAGTATTATAATGAGTCCTCATTATGTTCACCAGTCTCACCCCAAAACCTACATGTTAGGTGCCTTTCAGTGATCTCTTTTGTGTGATCTTATTTGGTTTTCATTCGATGAAGTGAGCCAGTTAACCTCCTTCCTCTCTTTTTTCTTTTTTTTTGTGCTAAAAAGTAGTTTTACCTAATTTTGTCCCCATTTATTTCTGGTAAAATTATCTAATTTTCCTTCATTACTTGGCTTTTATCATTTAGTAATATGGCTATATTATTTATGCCTTTTATTATGTCACCTCAAATACTGTTAATAAATACTCTTTACTAATATACTATCTTACTTTATATCATTAAATAGAATATTTAGTTTAGAATGTTACACCTAAAAGGGAAACAATCACTTCAAGTATCATTGGCCTGGACCTAGTCTTATTTCCATTTAGACTAAGTCAACGAGGGGAAGCAGCAAAACAAACAGCAGCATCTTCTTTATATTAAACTCAAACTCAGGATTGTACTCAGACTGATTTGCTAAGGGTACATAGTGATATCTGTAAGTCAAGTCTTGAATATTAGAATTTTGTCTTGGTCTGGATTAAGACATTACTCAATCATTAACAAAGAAGCCAACAACTATGATACACAAACACTTGCTGCAAATATAAGCCACCATGTTCCAGGAAGGCAGGTGGGAATTAGTCCACAGGGGTTCCTCAATTCTTGGAAGCCTAAGGTTGGCCTCTGGGACCATCAAATAAACATAGAATGTATCTTATCTTTCTCTGCCAATTTTCTTTTTTGTTAGATCACTAGGTATGATAATACTGGCTTGAAAGATAATTGAATCTAGGAAGTATATCTCCCATTTTTCAACACATTTTTCTTCAGAAAAACAATGGCATAACCCTTAATGCATTTTCACCCTACAAGTTTCCAGAGTTTCAATTGCAGCATTTACCTTGCTTGATTCAGTACTGCAGAAAAAAATCCCATTCTGGTTGGCAATTGCAGCTGTCCTGCACCAGGAATGTTTTTTTTTCTTGGGACATTCTGACATGACAGTAAAGTGGACTTCAATTAATGAGAAGTGTTAAGGTTGCTTTTGATAGACATGTATTTGAGGATGGCTTAGATGCTGGAGAAATGGAAGTACCTGCCATATTATTATTCTACCATGTGCTAGATAAATTGATGTCACTCCCATGTCCCTCCCTGCTTAGCTATTCAATCCTGATTCACTATCTGACTCAAGAAGTAAAAAGCAAGAGCAGCACATATTGAACAACAGGAGGCATATTTACAAATCTTTCCATTTAAAAAATCTAAACTAGCATATCAGCTACTCTCAAGATAAACAAGATTACTAAAATGGGTCCATATGCATCTCACCCTCAGTAAAATTGTTATGTAACAGTACTCTTTCTCATTCCTAAACTTCAGTAACCACTTGAGGAAACTCATTTGCAGTAAAAAGTGCAAGAGACGGAGGTGGATTCCAAAGAAGATGTAGAACCTTAAGGAGTCAGGAAAATTACTAGCAGTGTTGGACAGTGCTATATAATAAAAAGTACACACTAGTCAATGCTACCTCAAATGCTTGACATAAAATTCACCTCTTACTTCTCATGCCAAGATAGCTATCTTTTCCACCTCCTTTAAAAGGTCTAGCAAAACCAGTTAGTGAGACAATGTCTCACTTCATTAGAAAGGTCTGACACAGTAGGTCCATGTCAAAGCTCTAAAAGAAGAACAGAGAAGGAAATAAATAGGCAAGAAAATTAAAACTAAAGAATTACATACATAAAAATAGGCACATTAAAATATCTAAGCTAAAAACAACCAAAAGTTAAGACTTTTCTTGCTCAAAGAACTCTAGCAATCATAAAAGCCACCAATAAGTCAATGTTTAAAAATGTTGACTATGGGTACTTTAGACAATGGCAAAGATGCCAAGGAGACACAGTTCTATCCCCCAGTGAGTCAAAACTCTAGAAAAGATGACATACAGAATGAGTGTCAAATAAATGATTCACTCATTAAAGAGCTAAAGTGGAAGAGATGTTAAAATACAATGAGTTCTTCCTCATCCAATGAGAGAGTAAGATGAAGGAGGCCCAGGGACAAGACATCTAGCAGGTTAAGAGGCAGGAGCTGGACTGGACTCCAAGTCGTCTGACTCTAAGCCTCTAAGCATAAGCATGGGAATATTTTCACATCATTGGCCAGTGTTTTTCAAAAGAGGTGACTGTCACCAAAGTAGCATGACTACAACTGATATGGTTAAGAAATAGCTCCAACTAAACATTCCAGATGTCATAATAAGGTCCTTTCTCTTACAGCAATGGAATTATTTTAGGAAGGATTTTGATGTGTTTGATGATCCTGAGTAAAATAAGTCCTGTGGCAACATATTAGAGACATTTCTAATACTGTAAAGTAATCATTATAAAGAACTTTAGCCAAGCATTAAGTCTTAGTGGGCCCACTATATCCTAAACACTGTGCTGGTTCACGCTTTGGGAAATAGACGTGCACAACGCAGAGGTCAGAAGAGCTATGTCTTCTCAAAACTACTGACCCACAGAATCCATGAACATAATAAAGTGGTTGTTTTATCCTACTAAATTTTGTGGTGTTTGTCATAGATAACTAGAAATCTCCAACATAGTTAACTAGGTATCTAGTCACAGATAATTAGAACAGACTCCAACCTAAAACAATTATCTGACCCAGAAAGAACCATAATATTTCAACTTATCAATTTCTTACCATAGTGATGTTAGGAAATAATATTGCCATTTCCTTTATTGTTTGGTTTAGTTTATGTGAAAGAGACAAGTGATGCTCATAAAACAATCCATTTGCCCATCTGTGTTTTCTATACTCCGTGCTGTTGGCTAGCCAATAGAATGTATAAGAAGTAACTGCATCACTTCTGAGGTAAGGCTGTTACAAATAGGTATGAATTCTCTATTTTCTCTTTTGCCTGCATGGCCTTGAGCACAAACTCTGAGGATTCATGGTTACAAGATGGAGGCATCCTGGATCCCTGAGTCTCTGTTGGAACAGAGGTGGCAAAGAGGTCTTCCTGACCCACATCAAACTGAGAGACAAACAAGAAATATATCTTTGTTATGTTAACATGATCAAGGCATTATTTGTTATTACAGCATAGTCTAGTCTAGCTGACCCTGACCCGCACAATTTTCATGATCTGTCATTATAGTCACATCTTTGTATATACTGTAAACCTCATTTTTTGTTTTCTGATTAAATTCAACTCAACACCTACTTAATTCTTCTACCCAGCTATATGTGCCTAGGGGTTAAGAAAACAGCAACCATGTTTACTCATTTCTTTTTTTAAAAAATTCATGAACACAAGCTTCAAGTGGGCGTTTAGAGATTTCTAGTTATCTTTCCGAATTTTCTTTAATTCAGTCTCCAGTTTTCCAAGGTGACTCAAATTCCTTTCACTTTCCACAAACCAACACCTCCTTCCCCAAGTTTGTTCTCAGCTGATGACTGGCTTCATATTTGCTGACAAAGCTGAAGGCACAGAGGAGGATTTCCACATGCTCTCATCCCCATATGCACTGAGTTATCTGGATCTGTCCATGTATTAGGCCTTTCCTTTACCTATAGTAGGTGAACTGTCTATGAAATGACTCCACTTATGCTCTGAATCTAGTCCCTTTCCTACTCAGTGGCATTGCTTCTGCAGTTTCTTCCTCTCTCTGCTTTCCTATAAAGTTTTCTTTCTCACCTGAGTGTTCCCATCAGCATGCAAATATTAATTTCTTTTTAATGCAAAATCCCTCGAAAGAACAATGTGCAAAAATCACAAGCATTCTTATACACCAACAACAGACAAACAGAGAGCCAAATCATGAGTGAACTCCCATTCACAATTGCTTCAAAGAGAATAAAACACCTAGGAATCCAACTTACAAGGGATGTGAAGGACCTCTTCAAGGAGAACTACAAACCACTGCTCAATGAAATAAAAGAGGATACAAAAAAAATGGAAGAACATTCCATGCTCATGGATAGGAAGAATCAATATCATGAAAATGGCCATACTGCCCTAGGTAATTTATAGATTCAATGCCATCCCCATCAAGCTACCAATGACTTTCTTCACAGAATTGGAGAAAACTACTTTAAAGTTCATATGGAACCAAAAAAGAGCTCACATTGCCAAGTCAATCCTAAGCCAAAAGAACGAAGCTGGAGGCATCATGCTACCTGACTTCGAACTATATACTACAAGGCTACAGTAACCAAAACAGCATGGTACTGGTACCAAAACAGAGATATAGACCAACGGAACAGAACAGATCCCTCAGAAATAATGCCACATATCTACAACCATCTGATCTTTGACAAACGTGACAAAAACAAGAACTGGGGAAAGGATTCCCTATTTAATAAATGGTGCTGGGAAAACTGGATAGCCATATGTGGAAAGCTGAAAGTGGATCCCTTCCTTACACCTTATACAAAAATTAATTCAAGACGTATTAAAGACCTAAATGTTAGATCTAAAACCATAAAAACCCTAGAAGAAAACCTAGGCAATACCATTCAGGACATAGGCATGGGCAAGGACTTCATGTCTAAAACACCAAAAGCAATGGCAACAAAAGCCAAAATTGACAAATGGGATCTAATTAAACTAAAGAGCTTCTGCACAGCAAAAGAAACTACCATTAGCGTGAACAGGCAACCTACAGAATGGAAGAAAATTTTTGCAATCTACTCATCTGCCAAAGGGCTAATATCCAGAATCTACAATGAACTCAAACAAATTTACAAGAAAAAACCAAACAACCCCATCAACAAGTGGGTGAAGGATATGAACAGACACTTGTCAAAAGAAGACATTTATGCAGCCAAAAGACACATGAAAAAATGTTCATCATCACTGGCCATCAGAGAAATGCAAATCAAAAACCACAATGAGATACCATCACACACCAGTTAGAATGGCGATCATTAAAAAGTCAGGAAACAACAGGTGCTGGAGAGGATGTGGAGAAATAGGAATACTTTTACACTGTTGGTGGGAATGTAAACTAGTTCAACCATTGTGGAAGTCGGTGTGGCGATTCCTCAGGGATCTAGACCTAGAAATACCATTTGACCCAGCCATCCCATTAGTGGGTATATACCCAAAGGAGTATAAATCATGCTGCTATAAACACAGACGCACACATGTTTATTGTGGCACTATTCACAATAGCAAAGACTTGGAACCAACTCAAATGTCCAACAATGATAGACTGGATTAAGAAAATGTGGCACATATACACCATGGAATACTATGCAGCCATAAAAAATGATGAGTTCATGTCCTTTGTAGGGACGTGGGTGAAGCTGGAAACCATCATTGTCAGCAAACTATCACAAGGACAAAAAACCATACACCGCATGTTCTCACTCATAGGTGGGAATTGAACAATGAGAACACATGGACACAGGAAGGGGAATATCACACACTGGGGCCTGTTGTGGGGTGGGGGTAGGGGGGAGGGATAGCATTAGGAGATATACCTAATGTTAAATGACGAGTTACTGGGTGCAGCACACCAACATGGCACATGTATATATATGTAACAAACCTGCACATTGTGCACATGTACCCTAAAACTTAAAGTATAATAATAATAATAATAATAATAATTGTCTTTATTCACTATCTTCACTTCATTCCCTCCAATCTGTATTGAATCTCTTGAAATTACCCTTTCATTTTCAGCATTCCCCCAAGCAGCTCTTTTCAAAGTCACCAATGACTTCTATATTGCTAAATCAGATGGCTACTTCTCAGTTCTTAACGGACACAGTTTCTTAGCCGCTTTTGGAACAATCACTCTCTTGTTCCTTCATAAAACACTTTCTTTACTCTGCTGCTGGTTCGTTATTCTCTCTTGCTTCTCATGCTATTTTTCTGCCTGATCCTTCTTAGTGTCATTTTCTGAATCCCTCATCTTCCCAATTTCTAACCATTGAAATGCTCCGGGGCTCAAATCTTGGATGTCTTATTTTTTCATTTATATTTATCTTTATACTTGATCTCATTGGATTCTATGGTTTTCAATATTAGCTATGCTGTGATGAATCTCAAATTTGTATCTTCAGCTCTAATTTACATATTTCCTCTGAACCTGATCTATGTACTGTGTTATATTACTGACTCCACATTTGCCACTTGGTTTTGTTTTTCTCCCACAGTGAATTCCTCTCATGACTTCACTACTGCAGTAAATGGCAAATGCATTCTATCACTTATTTGGTCCTCTAAGCCTGGGGTCATCATTGACAATTCTTTTTCTCTTACATGCCATATCTAGTCCCTCACTGAGTCCTGTCAATTCTATTTTCAAATATTTATCCTGAGTCTAATTCCTTTTTATCACCATCCCTGCTCCCACGCTATTTCACATCACCATTATATCCCACGCAAAATTTGCAATAACCTGTTAAATAGTCTCTGTAGAATTATTCTTGCCCCATTGCAAATTAATTTATGTAATGTAGACAAAAATATCTTTATAAAGTATGTCAGACCACACCCTCTTGTCTCAAAATACTTCAAACAGCTTTAATTTCACCCGAAGGTTAATTCTCAGTGTCCTATATGACCTGACCCAATACTACCTCTTAGACCCCTTCTTGTAACACTCATACTCAGATCAGACTCTGATCCAGACATATTCGCTTTCTTGCTCTTCTTCAGCTTCGCCAAGCAAGGTCCTATATTAAAGCCTTAGCACATATATTTCTCTCTGCCAGAGCCACTCATCTCAGGTGCTTCGTTTAGCTCTCTGCTTCAATTTTACTCTTTAGAAAGGCTTTTATCTGACCACTTATGTTCTTTATCCCTTATTCTGCTTTATTTGTTTTATTTATATCACCTAGAAATCATATAACATAGTTTATATTTCTCTATTTAGTTGTCCTATTCATCCCTTTTGCAGTCCTAAAACGTAAGGTTCATGAGGGTGACAACTTGATCATTTCTGTTCAATGCCTTTTACTTCAGAACCCAAAAATTTCTTGAACATAGTAGATGCTCAATAAATCTTTGAAAATTAATAAACAATTTAAATGAGTCTCAGTTTGGAAAAATGAGTGAAAATCTGTATCTGAAAGGCTTGTTTTTACTTGCAAAAAACGAGTCATCACTGTGTCCTGTGGTGTCAAGCTGACTGAAGTGAGACTTTTACACATAACGCAGACTCAGAATGGACAAAAAAATAATAGTGATCCGAGGCTACTACTGTTCCTGGCAACTATCCATAGAATATCAGCAAAGCACAGAATGAGCCAGCTTGGCATCTGTGTGTAATATTAGCCCATATTTCTTCTTCCAGAAAGAGGAAACACATCCACATAAAGCAAATGAGGTGAAAAAAAGGCTGACAATGAGTTATAAATTAAATTAGTGCCATTCTCATTGGTATGTGCTTAGAGAGAGAAAGGATGTTAGGCTAGCACTAAATGAGGTCCTTTCAAGTATTTTTTTAAAAAATTATGGCCCAGCACGGTGGCTCATGCTATAATCCCAGAACTTTGGGAGGCCAAGGCAGGTGGATCACCTGAGGTCAGGAGTTTGAGACCAGCCTGGCCAACATGGTGAAACCCCATCTCTACTAAAAATACAAAAATTAGCCAGGCGTGGTGGCACACGCCTATAGTCCCAGCTACTTGGGAGGCTGAGGCAGGAGAATCACTTGAACCCGGAAGGTGGAGGTTGCAGTGAGCCAAGATCATGCTACTGAACTCCAGCCTGGGTGACAGAGCGAGACTTCATCTCAAAAGAAAAAAAAAATTATTAGAATTTTGGAATTCTTTCTGAATACTTCTCTAGAGAGACTGCATGCACCTCTAATAATCTTTTTTTCTAAACCCCAATCTGAGACATACAATTTGACACATATAATTTTTTTTATGAGAACACCAGGACAAAGTATAAAAATTGTCACTGGCTTAAAAAATGTGGGATATTTAGGTACAGTATATATGCCTCTGAAATGACTTTGAGAATATTAAGTGGATGAATGACAAGACAAAAAGAACAAGGAGATGCAGTACAGAGGCAAGATAGGCAGTCGAAGAGAAGACAGCTAAGCCAGTTCAGTGTGAGGAACAAACAGTATCAGCGACACACCCAGCTTCAGGGATGATACTGATAAGCATGAATGGTTTGAGTATTGACACATAATGGAGTAAATAAATATTCACTATCTCAAAGAAGTCATCTTAGGAAGACAGGAATAGAAATAGAGGTTTACTAGAAGAGTTGGGCTTCTTTCCCTTATACCCAGCTAACTTAGGGATTATGCAGTTTTGACACCATGTAAACTGTAATTCATCAAAAACTGGTTTCAACCATTATCGTGTATACCACCAGCAGATATATATGTGGCAAACACAACGTATTTATGCTCAACTTCACATTCCACCTCACCACCTTCATAGCAATATGCTTTTATGTCTCACAGCTTTGTGTATCTGAGGCTCTGTATGCAAAGCTGTGATTTTTCTATTCTAAGCCTCTCTGTCTCTCTCTTTCTATCTCTGAAGGCATTAGAAGGCAACAAAGGAGACTATAGATTAGAGATTTGAGGATAACATATACTTTAAAGATTTTTATAAAGGATTAAATACTAACTTCAAAGATGAAACAAATTGTATTTTGAAATCTTCAAATTGTAAGGCTGAAGATTCCAAATCCTTTATTTTATATATGAAGGACTTAAGGCAAAGGGATGTCACAGAACTGCCCAATATAACACACAGAGTTAGTAGAAATGCTGGGATGAAAACCTAGCAGAGTGTTCCTTTTATTTCACCAGTTCTCAATCTTGGCCTCTTTTCTACTACAATCATTTTAAAAATAAAACAAAACACAACCAAACAAATGCCCCCTTTATGGAGCAAAAATCTTAAAGTATATGTTCTTAGGTCTTCTGTTGGTATGTTTTCAGAAATAGCAGAAATGATCCTTTCAGAAGATTTTAAGGACTTGAATTGCAGAAATACTTCAGAGGGACCATTAAGCAGTCTTCCTAAAGTCTGCACCTACACTGTGAAGGGTTTATTTATGATTCTAAAAGTCACTGGGAGAGGTGCAAAGTGTGTGTTGAAGGGTCTAGACTTTTCCCTCACTGTGGCTTTTAGCATTCCAGTTATTTGTTTAAAGAACGGAAATACCTCTCGGGCTTCACAGAGCCTAGGTTACAATCCAGCATCAGCAGAGGTAGTTTTTCTCTTTATTTTATGGAATATGTAATTGTATGTTTTTCTGGTAAATGCTTTCATTACCTAATTAGTTCATCAGCAGTTTTAGAAAGCAACCCTGGAAAGCAGTAAGGTGTCCAATTTGTTAACCTCCAATGAACTATGTTTCATTTGTAAATCATGCTGTATGGTTCTTATAAATCTTATTATTTCAAGCGATGAGACTTCATTCAAAAAAATGTAACAAGTGTAAATGGTTCAAATCTAGACTCATCTTTGTCATTGGTGACAAGAATTTTTTTATAGAATAAGTTCTTTGGGAAAAAGAAAGATACTATTTACTAACAATATTAATATGTATTTAGAGATGATATGCAAAATCCAGGAAGGCTCAATTTCCTAAAGCCAAGGGCTGTTTTCTATTCATTAGTGAATCCATTGCACTTAAAACATCAGGTTAAATAGTAAAACTTGCTGATATTTACTTAGCATTTACTATAGGCTATGAGCTTTAATTATATACTGTTACATTTTTCAAACCTAGTTTTTGAAACTGACATCATTATATTCCCCATTTTATATGAGAAAAAACTGAGGTTTAAGAAGGTGAACTAGCTGGGCGTGGTGGCTTACGCCTGTAATCCCAGCACTTTGGGAGGCTGAAGTGGGTGGATCACCTGAAATCAGGAGTTTGAGATCAGCCTGGCCAACACGGTGAAACCTCGTCTCTACTAAAAATACAAAAAATTAGCCAGGAGTGGTAGCCAGCACCTGTAATCCCAGCTACTCAGGAGGCTGAGGCAAGAGGATCATTTGAACCTGAGCAAGAGAGGTTGCAGTGAGTTGAGATCGTGACACTGCACTCCAGCCTGGAAGACAGAGCGAGACTCTGTCCCCCCAAAAAAAAGAAAAGAAAAAAGAAGATGAACTAACAACTTAACATGGCCACAATGATATTGAGTTAATAGATAAATAAGTTAGATCCCATCATCTATCATATAAACACACTTCATATTTTCATTCTCAAAAACATTTGCTAAGGTTGAAAAAGAAAGGGCCTATGTCACCTAGAAGACTTTCTGACCACACGCCTGCATCTTTTTAAATTTGCCAATAAAGCTGTAATTCAGAGCTGATTTTAACCTGGAGGGTGAGAAACAATTATTTTGTTTAAGGAATGAAAACACTTCTCTGGCTTCATAGGACATATATTACAATCCAGCATCAGGAGAGGTAGCGCTTCTCTTTATTTGTATGGAATATATAATTGTCTGTTTTCCTCATAGATCTTTCCATTACCTAATTAGTTCACCAGCAGTTTTAGCAAAACCCCTAGCAAGCCCTAAGATGTCTAATATGAAGACTGTCTTGCTCATGTCAGTTCACCACCAATAAGCTATTTGCAGCTCATTCTCTAAATCACTACACATAGGGAATTACATCACACCTGATGTGTAGAACCCTCTTGCTGAACCAACAGCTATCACTATCATCATCTCTTTTCTGATAAGACACATCAGTCTTGTTGCTAAGCACTTACGTGCCTTTATTCCCAGATTTGATCTTCTCTTTGAAAGAATATGTGCGCGCGCGCACACACACACACACACACACACACACGCACCACCTACATAGTATTTTCTAGACCATTTATGTATAGCTGGAGGAAAACTTACAAGATGAGATAATCTTGACTAAGGCTATTCATTAATTCTTTTCACCAAAGATGAAAAAAATTAGAGGATATTTCTAAGTGGCAGCAGGAAGGTTTTAGTTTATACAGAGGTAGGGGAATGGAGTATACTCTGTGCAGAAACATTGAAATAAATTAATAAACAAAGCTTACTTAAGAAGTTCTTTGAGATTAGGACACATCATTGGTCCTCAGAATTTTCATCCCATGATATTCACTCTTCACTCCCATCAACTTGAGAATGGCCATGAATATGGACCACAAAATTTTGCTCGAAGTAGATTTTGGATCTCCTTAACTCGGTCTCTCATAATCCCTGATCTGTTATTTTTGAGGGATCTGAGTAGAGAATTCCAATGTTGTATAACTTAAAAACATTTGACAGCATTAAATTAAATGAGTAGATGGTTTTGCTTATCCCATAATTTCCTGAAAGGCCCAATAAGGTGAAACAGACACAACCCCAAGTAAAATTTTATGTAATGACATAGACACCCCAATGCAAAATTAAAACAGATTTCCACCTGAGAATTCAAGAAATATACTACCTTGCCCCAAACCGGTAAGAATCCGATTACCACAAGGATGGATAGTTACCCATGGCGAAGAACGGGATTCCCAGCAGGGTGGAGTTGTACTTTCCATCGGTGATGAAGAAGATCCCTGCTGCTGTGATGATGGAGATGCATACTGTGAGCACCCCCAGGAGGCCCAGGAAGGGCTTACTGCGCAAGCAGTCCTTCATGGAGCTGGAGAGGGTGGCTGTGGTCAGGATCAGCACGAGGCTCACCAGGACCTTGCTTCTGGCCAGGATGCTGGTCTTATGAAAGTCCCTCCAGAGGCTAAAGGATGCTAAAGAGTAGAGCTGGAGTTCTTGATGCTCCTCCTGGAGCTTCCTTATAAGCTTACAGAACTCATTCTCCCACTTCTCCCCTATGAGGTCTTGGGTGGCAGAGCCATAGGTCTGGAGGTAGTAGGTGATTTGAATGGCTCTGGCTGACTTGACCCGCTGATCTTTGCTGTTTGGCACTTCCACTACCCCGCCCAGTTGGTGTCCAATAAAACTGTTCCTCCCATCCTTGAAAACAGAAAAAGAAGAGACTTCAGTTACGGATGTATATTCCAGGGAATAGATTCTTACTCTAAGTGAAGGAGCACAAGGAAGGCAGAGATAGGTGCTAGTAATTGTGAAACTGATGTGGGTGGAGAGGCAAGTTAGAATTTTATATTCAACATTTGGAGCTACATGGGATACCATGTATGATGATCAAGGGCAGAAAATATGCAAAAAGTATTACAAAGCTACAGAAGAATTGCCACATGCATAGAGAAACGTAGATAAATATTTTGTTCTCACTCATATCCCGATTCCCAACATTTCCTTTTGTAACAATCCATTACAAATCCTTAATACAAGATCAAGTTTTATGATTCAGTTTCAGCCAAAAGTAAAGCTTGCCATGAATTAATAATATTTCAAAAGTTAAGATAATTATCTGTTCTATAAATGTACACTAATCTTTCTAGGGTTCATTCATATACCTATGCCAACACTGATACAAGTACACACAAACATGAATATTCTTATATATTCTCTATATTTTGGGAATATAATTGCATACCGAAGAGCAGTACAAAAAATATTGTTTCTTACAACTAATTTAATGGCATTGAAATATTTCCTAAATATGATGTGAACACCTATTCATACATTACAATGCTCTCTCCAAACACCTGCCTCAGACATAGGTTGACCTTTTCTTATTGATGACAGTAGACAAATCCCCTAAATTAGACTGATAAGAATTTCAGATTGAATTGCCAAAAGTCAATTCATTTTCAGAGTTTGACATGAGGTAGAGTAGGCAAGATCATGAGAGTAGGAAATTGGTAAGAGAAGCAATCACTGCTCTTTAAGGCACATGTATGTGGCCGAAGAGTTACTAAAACAGGTTGAGAACGGTATTTCTCATCCAGTGTGCCCCAACATGAAGAAAGAAATCTCGAAGAGCTGTCAACAAATTATCATTAATTTGGAAAGTTTATTATTGCCACAACTATCATTTATTTCAATGGCAATGGTTCTCAGAATACTGAAGCTAGTAGCAGGTTGCATGATGAAGTATAGTGTTGAAAGTATGCTCAAGTACCAGGTGAGAGACAGGCACTAAGGTATGTTTATGTCACAGTAGACTGTGTGTCAACTGAACCTGCCAAGATGTTTATCTAACAAGGATATAAAGGGGTAAAATCAGGAGAAGAAACAGTTCTTCCTAGAGTGGGTAGGGCAGAAGACAACAAACTCAATAGTGTGATAACTCTTGTTTTTCGCAGAACTGGGAGGTATTATGTACTCTAGCAGACACATGTCTTAATTCTTGTGGACTTGTTTAGCTCAGACACTTATATCTAAGGCACTTGTTTGTATTTACATTTTTAACATGTGACAAAGCAACCCTAATACTTGAGAGTGTGTTGCAAACACAAAAAGTTTACAATATTTACAGAGAGTAAAAATGCTGTTAGTAGGATCACCAGGAATTCCAAGTGAGGAATTTCTTTTTTTTTTCTTTAATTATTCTTTTAAGTTCTGGGGTACATGTGCAGAACGTGCAGGTTTGTTACATAGTTATACATGTGCCATGTGGCTTGCTGCACCCATAAACCCATCAACTACATTAGGTATTTCTCCTAATGCTATCCATCTCCTAGCCCACCACCCACCGATAGGCCCTGGTGTGTGATGTTCCCCTCCCTGTGTCCATGTGTTCTTGTTGTTCAACTCCCACTTTTGAGTGAGTGTTTGGTTTTCTGTTCCTGTGTTAGTTTGCTGAGAATGGTGGTTTCCAGCTTCATCCAAAGGACATGAACTCATCCATTTTTATGGCTGCATAGTATTCCAGGGTGTATATGTGCCACATTTTCTTTATCCAACCTATTATGGATAGGCATTTAGGTTGGTTCCAAATCTTTGCTACTGTGAACAGTCCTGCAATAAACGTACGTGTGCATGTGTCTTTACAGCAGAATGATTTATAATCCTTTGGTTATATGCCCAGCAATGGGATTGCTTGGTCAAGTGGTATTTCTGGTTCTAGATCCTTGCAGAATCGCCACACTGTCTTCCACAATGGTTGAACTAATTTACACTCCCACCAACAGTGTAAAAGCGTTCCTATTTCTCCACATCCTCTCCAGCATCTGTTGTTTCCTGACTTTTTAATGATTACCACTCTAACTGGCATGAGATGGTATCTCATTGTGGTTTGGATTTGCATTTCTCTAATGAGCAGTGATGATGAGGTTTTCTTCATATGTTTATTGGCCTCATTAAATGTCTTCTTTTGAGAAGTGTCTGCTCATATCCTTTGCCCACCTTTTGATGTTTTTTTTTCTTGTAAATTTGGTTAAGTTCCTTATAGATTCTGGATATTAGTTCTTTGTCAGATGGATAGATTGCAAAAATTTTCTCCCATTCTGTGGGTTGCCTGTTCACTTTGATGATAGTTTCTTTTGCTGTGCAGAAGCCCTTTAGTTTAATTAGATCCCATTTGTCAATTTTGGCTTTTGTTGCCATTGCTTTTGGTGTTTTAGTCATGAGGTCTTTGCCCATGCCTATGTCCTGAATGGTATTGCCTAGGTTTTCTTCTAGGGTTTTTATGTTTTTATGTCTTACATTTAAGTCTTTAATCCATCTTGAGTTAATTTTTGTATAAGGTGTAAGGAAAGGGTCCAGTTTCAGTTTTCTGCATATGGCTAGCCAGTTTTCCCAGCATCATTTATTAAATAGGGAATCTTTTCTCCATTGCTTGTTTTTGTCAGGTTTGTCAAAGATTAGATGGTTGTAGATGTGCGCCATTATTTCTGAGGCCTCTGTTCTGTTCTATTGGTCTATATATCTGTTTTGGTACCAGTATCATGGTGTTTTGGTTACTGTAGCCTGTAGTATAATTTGAAGTCAGGTAGCGTGATGTCTCTAGCTTTGCTCTTTTTGCTTAGGATTGTCTTGGCTATATGGGCTATTTTTGGTTCCATATGAACTTTAAAGTAGTTTTCTCCAACTCTGTGAGGAAAGTCAGTGGTAGCTTGACGGGAATAGCATTGAATCTATAAATTACTTTGGGCAGTTTGGCCATTTTCACAATATTGATTCTTCCTATCCATGAGCATGGAATGTTTTTCTATTTGTTTGTGTCCTCTCTTATTTCCTCGAGTGGTGGTTTGTAGTTCTCCTTGAAGAGGTCCTTTACATGCATTGTAAGTTGTATTCCTAGGTATTTTATTCTTTTTTGTAGCCATTGTGAATGGGAGTTCACTCATGATTTGGCTCTCTGTTTGTCTATTATTGGTGTATAGGAATGCTTGTGATTTTTTGCACATTGATTTTGTATCCTGAGACTATGCTGAAGTTGCTTATCAGCTTAAGGAGATTTGGGACTGAGACAGTGGGATTTTCTAAATGTACAATAATGCCATCTGCAAACAGAAACGATTTGACTTCCTCTCTTCCTATTTGAATACGCTTTATTTCTTTCTCTTTCCTGATTGCCCTGGCCAGAACTTCCAATACTATGTTGAATAGGAGTGGTGAAAGAGGGCATCCTTATTTTGTGCCAGTTTTCAAAGGGAATGCTTCCAGCTTTTGCCCATTCAGTATGATATTGGCTATGGATCTGTCATAAATAGCTCTTATTGTTTTGAGATACGTTCCATCAGTACCTAGTTTTCAAAAGTTTTTAGCATGAAGGGGTGTTTAATTTTATTGAAGACCTTTTCTGCATCTATTGAGATAATCATGTGGTTTTTGTCATTGGTTCTGTTTAAGTGATGGATTACATTTATTGATTTGCATATGTTGAACTAGCCTTGCATCCCAGGGATGAAGCTGACTTGATTGTGGTAGATAAGCTTTTTGATGTGCTGCTGGACTCGGTTTGGCAGTATTTTATTGAGGATTTTAGCATTGATGTTCATCAGGGATATTGGCCTGAAATTTCCCTTTTTTGGCTGGGTCTCTGCCAGGTTTTGGTATCAGGATGATGCTGGCCTCATAAAATGAATTAGGGAGGAGTCCCTCTTTTTCTATTGTTTGGAGTAGTTTCAGAAGGAATGGTACCAGCTCCTCTTTGTAACTCTGGTAGAATTCGGCTGTGAATCAGTCTGGTCCTGGGCTTTTTTGTTGTTGTTGGTAGGCTCTTAATTACTGCCTCAATTTCAGAACAAGAAAGGAATTTCATAGTCACTCCACTTTCTCCCTACATACTAAATGAATACAATCATTCTATTTATCTCAATGTTACTAACTCTAAAGGAACAATCCAATAAGAATTTCAGTTGAGTTTTTTTTTTTTTTCTCAGAATGTCTCCCACTTCCATGTAATCTTTATAATTTTCCCATCTTTTTCCTTTTGGAATCAAATGGAAATTTTGGCTGTGGTTCCCAAGGCTCTCTCTTGATTAAATCTCATGGGATATTACCATGAGCTGCAAGTAGAAAGGTGGGCATGCTTTGAGAAAGGAGGCGGGGATCTCATCCCAGAACTGAGAAATTGTGGAAAATTTCTGCTCTTTAAGTTGACACTAATTGATCCCCAATTAGGCGCATTTATTTTTGTTTTAAGCTTGGTATAATTTTTAGCTCCACCCTTGTTTCTACACCTTTGAAATCCCACTTTGATGTGGAATTCTACTTCTGATTATTTGAAAGAGAAAGTTTTTAAAAAGCATTATCTATTTACTTAAAATGTGCAGCTATCTGTCTTTACTTATTTATGTCATCAAAAAGATTTCTCAAGAGATCTTTAGCAGCAACAAAATGATTTATTCATCTCTTGGGGCTCATTTGGAGATTACAGTGAATAAAAGAGGGTGCTGATAATGTATCTGGACAAAAGACAAAATTTTAAAGAAGGCTAGTGTCGGTTTTTAAACAACAGATCTTCATTGAGTTTGGCTAGCTGCTAACTCCTCTGTTGAAGTTGTCTAATTCCCATTTTTACAAAAAAAAAGTTTATAAAAGGTACACTTCTATCCCTCTTTTCCCATTATTTTAAAATTAATATAACAAATAGAAAGAATTTCTTACTCATATTTTTCTCTATGCATCAGAACAAAATAAATAAGGTTTTTGGATGTTCTGGAATTGAAAGCTCCATTAAAAGGTCCACATTTTGTACCTGCAGTTGGCCCAAAAATCCAACTAATTATAGTTCTGAGAAATACACTTTTGTACATTATTTGTATGGGAAAATTATACTATTTTGTAAGGGATTATAGAAGAGTTTATTCGCTTCCAAACTCACCAGCTCACAGATGCTTCTATGTAGGAAAGACAAAGAATTAATATAAGAAATATTGTAATTATCCTGTGGACAGAACTTCCTTGAAGTTATGACTACAAGTAATAATGAAAGAACACTTAATCAGGAATCATGTGAGCTGAGTTGCAGTGTGCAGCTCACATTAATGGTAAAAGTTCCTTAGTTCATGGCTAATTCATTAGTTCATGGCTAGTTTATTTGGTTTTCTTATCTATAAAATGAGCAACTATGAGTATATAAACAAATGTTTACATAATAATTAAGTAATTTTCAGCTCTATTTTTCTATGAAAATACAATGCATAAAGTTTCACTGGAGATGCCTGGATGTCAGAAAGGATATCATTATAACTAATAGAGTCATTAATGGATTATTTGTATAATTGATAAAGATCTTACTTATCACATGATGAAGCTCTTTTGTTTAATAGATGAGCAAACCTAGAAGCTCAGAGAAGTTAAACCTACTAAAGGGATGATTCCAAGGTTGAAACTCAGATCTTCTGAGTCCAAGTCCAGTCCTTTCTAGAGTCCTAGGGGAGCGATTTCAGGGCAGCCAGTTTGGCTCCCATGAAATGTTCTTTATGATTAAAAGTTATTTCACTTGCAGACCCCCTTTTCCAATGTCGTCCTCTCCACTAAGGCAACTGCCTAGCAATGACTCATACTCGTATACTGATTCAACTTCTTCTTTTCCCCAAAAACCTCCTACAAAAGTTCTGAAATTCCTTTAAGTGTAAATCACCTTTATGTCCCAATAAAGACAAGTCTTAAAGTAAGAATATGACAAGATGCTAACATGCTGTTTTCAATGCTCTCCTATGTGAGTGCTTCATTGAACTGAACTGACATCATTAAGAGTAGATGACTTTGGTTCCTAGCTCATATCCCTGTGTACACTGTTGTTCTTCAATCTATTCTCCACATGGAAGCCAGAGTCTATTTGTACAATTTAAATGAGACAACATCATCCCTACACCTAAAACCCTCCCCTGGTTTCCACTTGCAATAGGAATACAACAGATGCCTCTTGCCAGGCTTCAAAGGCCCTGCTTAGCCCATTTCTAGAGGAGTCCTCAGACCTGTCTCCTATCACCCTTCTCATGAACTCTGCTCCAACTATTTTTTTTAACCTTTCTTCCTATTCCTTGAAGAAACCAAGTTAATTTCCACCTTATGATCATTGCATCAGCTGTTCCCTCTGCCTGAAATGCTTTCTTCTGCCAAGACTACTTCCTGGTCACCGAGGACTTAGCTTCAAAGAAATATTTGACCCACAAGACCTAAACCAGCCTTCCTTGCAATCATTCTATTGCATAGACCTTTTATCTTCTTCCTACAAATGATTTCTATTTGAAATGATCTTATTTTATCATTTAATTGCTCCTTTTTGTGTCCTCTGCTAGAGTGTGTGCTTGTTGAAAGCTGACATCTTTCCTGTTTTGTTCACTGATAATTTCCTTGTGCCTAGAAAAAGCCTGATGTGTAATAAACATTCCATAATATTTATTAGCTGAGTAAATTCACCTTAAGATATATATAACTAATTATAGGTTACTTTTTAGAGACTAGTTTGCTAAGACCAGGACAAGTAGGAGACAGATCAAGGTGCCTGAGAACAGTAGGAACTCAAATGAAAAGAGGCATATGTAGAAATTTGAGGCTGATACAGAAAAGAAACAACAACATCTCTTTCTCAGTCTGCTTATTCTAGTATAATATTTCCCCCAAATATGTTTCTTTTTCATTTTTGCTGCACACCAAGCATGTGCAGGAAGCTAGTCAACAGACAGGGGGACTTAGGGAGTGCCAGAAAAAAGAATTTGCATGTATCATGGCCCGCAGGCAAAAGCCAGCGTAAGATGCTCAGGGACCTGAAGGGAGTAATAGGATTTGAGGCTACAGAAGGCAGCAGGGCCTCTTCAGTAAAGGCCATGAAAGCCTTATTAAGGAGTTGGACTTAATTATCCTTCAATACAAATCCATTGATGAGTTTTAAGCAAGCGAATGACATGATTTACTTTCAAAAGTTCTCACTCTCATTGCACTGTGGAAAATGATTTAGGAAGTAAAGGTGATTCTAAAGGAAAGAGCTCAGTTAGGAAGTCCCTGTAGTATTTCAGGTTCTTGATGCAGCATAAGAAAATGTCAGCTGAGGCAGTTTCTAGTAGGTAAATTGTTCCAAGGTGAATCATTGGAATTACAGGTCATGATGCTATCTCACGGCCATAAATCATCTCATCACATTATCTCTCCAGCAGCAGTAATGCTGAAGAGAAAAAAAAAATCTTGGGTTCGAAAGCTCTTATTTAGTTTCAGGTTACTGTTCTGTAGCTTTAAAAATTACTCCCACTCAATGCAGAGCTTTCAATAGCTCTAGAGTAGAAAACTAAACTCTCAGAGAGAAGATTAAAAAAAATTAAAGTGATAAGAGAGGATGGAGACATTAATGTCACAGACAATAGTGCAGAGAAAAAAATTACTTGATGATGGTTTGAAACTATAGGAGAGCAAGTACAGTATTTGTTCCTCCTATGTACTAGGTTGGCATTCAGACACTTTCTGTGACTGCAAGATAATATGACAGCACAGCTTTTGTCCAAGACAATTGCAATTCAGATTTCATTGATTTTCCATGAGGCAGACACTGCAAAGATATTGGAAAGTTTTAGATGGTTAGTTGTTTTTTATCACTGAAAAGAAAGTCTTCCTGTGTTTAGTAGATGGTGACATTTCCAAAGGAATATTGTTTCTTTTTTTAATCAGATTTTTCCTCATATTTATTTTCTAACTTATATATCTTTGTTTTATTACCAGGGTCAAGTATATACATAAACTAGGATTAAATGAAAATATTGGTTATCTTTATTTTCCACACCAGAACTTCATATTTAGTAGAAATGAGAAAATAATGAGAAATACCTAGTTTGTACAAGGTATTTATTTTTTAAAAGAAGAATCAAAAGTCATTCTCAAAATGAAGACTTTAAAGCATTAACATGCCCTAAATAAGTAATAAATTCAATTTATTTTGTCACATTAGTAAGCTAGAAAAAGGCCGTGATGTAGTTCACATGTTTTTCAAAGAAGAAGATTAAAAAAACAAGATTTCTGTATTGCTGAAATAAAATAAAAACTCTAGCCATCCAGAATATAAAATAAGTTTAAAAGAGAACTCCAACATATCAATTAACTGGGACTTGGTTGGAAATTTTTAACACATGTGGTAGAATCAGTTCTAAGACATAAGAATTCTATTCTCATTATCTTAGGCAACTCTTCCAATTGCTCTATGAAGAAGTGCTATACTGGAGTAGCCTCAAGTCAACAATAAGGACATTGGGACCAAGAGAGAGGATACAGTGAAAGAAATGTTATACTGCTACTAAGTGGCACAGCCAATCACTTGATTCGTGTGTCTGACTCCACATTCTTAACACAACTGCCCATATATTTGAATAATTTTTATATGTATATATTAATGATAGGTACTATAACGTAATGGTTATGTACACAGAGCCAAGAATCCACTGCCTTGCTTAGAGTCCCAAACTCAACACTGACAAGATGTGCAAGGGTCTTAAGCTCCCTGTGTGTCAGTTTTATTATTGGTTAAAATGAGAATTATATAGGCATTGAGAAGATTGAATGTGTGGATATATGATAAGTATTTAGAATAGTGCTCAGAAATAATTGGCTATTATTTCTATTAACATACGTTATAAATAAAATGCTTGAATGATACTGTTTATTCACTTATCCATCTAAGATTATTCCATATTTCCCAGCAAATGTTTGTAATATGGTGGAAAGAACATAGGGCACAGGGCCAAGACTCCTGGTTTCAAGTTCCATTTCTGCTACTATACCGCCGGGTGACAGAAGACATGCTGTTCAGCTTTTCTGAATGCCAGCACCCTCATCTCCAAAATAAAAAGTGTCGCTTACATTATCGCTAAAGGTCTTACCTTCCCTATAGTTAATGATTCATTGGTGGTAAAGTCATTAGACACTACATAGTATGCTGCAGAAATCTGCCCCAAGAGAAAAAAATAAAAGAAATAAAAAGGAAGGGAAAACACAAAATGACCAGTGTTCATTTCCATAGAAACAAGAAGCATTTTATCTTCTTCTGAGGCTAGACCAAGTCATGTGTCTGCCCTTTCTTTGAGTAATCTCTGGAGAGAGTTCTTCTCAAATGGAGAAGGATAAGGAATTTGCCCTAATTTACCTAGATATAAATCACCTCTGTAGCCCAGATGAATTAAATTATTTCTTAGATAGTAAAATTCATTTTATCCCCAGATGTCTACCAGTATTCTCTCTACCATTTGCTTATCAAATACTAGTATTTCCATAAAAAGCAATATTACTATTCTTACATGAATGAGTCTTTCACAAAGAGATCACAGTGGTTCTTAAAAGCAGGCATTCCGATATCAAACAACACTTAGCTCTGATGTTGACCTACATAAGAGAAGTTGGCCACCACTAACGCAGGAGCATTTGAGGAAAGCAGCAAATCCCTATGTATAATGTCCCCCTTCAGTAGAAAGATTAAAAGTCCTGCCATTATTGCCTTTCTTTTGGACTAAGAAATTCTCTTCTAAAAAGGCTCTAGTTTACAACCAGAGGCTATAGGACTATGACATCTGGAACATTAACACCTTTGACTGGAAAAGTAGATCACACTGACAAATTGGGGAGGCAAAACTCAGAGTAGAGCTCAAAACATCCTCATGGAAACAAGAAAGTTACGGAAGATGAGAACCTTCGGCATTCTAGGTACCTTCATGGGGTGCCAGTGTGGTGAATATGTGGGGGTACCCAAGGATGTGACACACAGCACAGGTGGAAAGAGGCAAGGAAAGAGGCAACTGTTTATTCATCCAAGAAAGATTCAGTGAGCACATGCTCTGTGCTATACCGCTATCGAGGATAGAGTGGTAGACAGCTACAGTGCCTATCTTCAAAGGGCCTATGGTGTGGGGTGAGGATAGAGTGGTAGACAGCTACAGTGCCTGTCTTCAAAGGGCCTATGGTGTGGGGTCAGGGAAAGATAAGTAAGTAGGCAGGCATTTTAAAAAAATATAAGTACTGGCCGGGCGCTGTGGCTCACGCCTGTAATCCCAGCATTTTGGGAGGTCAAGGAGGGCGGATTATGAAGTCAGGAGATTGAGATCATCCTGGCTAACATGGTGAAACCCTTTCTCTACTAAAAATACAAAAAATTAGCTGGGCGTGGTGGGGGGCTCCTGTAATTCCAGCTACTCGGGAGGCTGAGGCAGGAGAATGGCGTTAACCCGGCAGGCGGAGCTTGCACTGAGCTGAGATGGCACCACTGCACTCCAGCCTGGGTGGCAGAGCGAGACTCCGTCTCAAAAAAAAAAAAAATAATAATATATGTACTGTGGCAGTGATTAACACAAGATGTCAAGAGAGCACTGAGAAGGAATCGCCTAACTTAGTGGGTACTAAGGAGGCTTTCTAAAGAAGATGTTACCTTAGCTGAGTCCTGAATCATAAATATCAATTATCCAAATAAAGCTGGAAGATTTGGTTGGTGGACATGGAAAGAAATGGTCTTCTAAGCAGAGGAAACAGCATACACAAAGGTGTAGATCTGCCCTTTGTGTAAGTAAGCATGTTGTATTCCTGAGACTTGGAGAATTACTGGAATATATAATGAAGGAGGGTAAGAGAAGAGTGATTTCTCAGAGATGGACACTGGCAGTGAAAATTGTGAAATTTGCTTATTCCAAAGCTCTCTTTCGCTGCAATGTGAAAAATGAACTCCAGGTATGCCTTGGGGATGGCTATGAGCACTAGAGATAGGGCATGGCATGATTTTTTTTCCTTCCTTACAGCTTTGTCTAAGGCAAGACTTACCTAACTGATTATGGGAACATTAAAAAAGAGGTTTTTCAGATCTTATGGAATGCACACTATTCTGAAAATAAATTTTTCCCATACCTGGGCTTTTTCCAAAGAACCACCACTTCTGGAGTGTTGAGGGATTCTTGGAAAAAATTTACTTTCTAAAATTATGAAAGTTGTTAAAAGTGATCTACTCATTCTAATGATTCTCATAAATTCAATCAATTAAAACAAATATTAGGTTGCTGCAAAAGTAATTGCGGTTTTTGCTACTTTCGTTGGCAAAAACCGTAATTACTTTTGCACCAAACTAATAATACATGTAGTGAATATCTGGGAAAGTGCATTGCTATCCTGCATGTCGAAACCAAGATAAAGACAAATAAAGGGAGGATAAAGTCTTTTCTTTGAAGAGTTTATATTTTTGTTTAGAGACAAAGCACATAAATAAAATGCTAAGAGAATAAAGCAGCATGGAGACTTACAATACAGAAGACGTTACTGAAGAGTGAAGATACGTGCTGGGGCTGCAAAACTATACACATTACAGCATGATCTCCACTACTATGTAACAATAAATGTATATATATATAAATATTCAAGGGAAATACATTGGCTTGTTTCTGGTATAGGATTATGGGTCAGTTCTGATTTCTTTGTTAGGTTATTTTATATTATCATTACAAAATTTGATTGACTCACCAACAAAAATAACAAATTTCACTTAGGCAATGGGAGAGGAAGAAGGATCAAGAATCAGGATTCCCTTGTGCCCAGGCTCAAGTTCTAAGCAATCTGTCTAACTAAACTTGAGTTGTTTTTAATATAGGATTATAGGTCATTTCCGATTTCTTGGTTAGGTTATTTTATACTGTCTTTTAAAAAATCCTATTTTTAAAAATAGTATAAAATCTATATTTTCTTTAGTATAGATAGTATATTATACATACTACAGTAGAAACAAGTTTTTCTGCTTCATGAAAGACTGTGGTTTTGCCCACTGAGACATAATAAAAGATAGTATTTTACCTCTAAAAGTGAATAGCAACAGATTTCTGGCTGCTAATGGTAGGGAAAAGTGCTAACACACACTTAACTCCTGAGCTGATCTGGCCTTGCACTTGGCTAAATGGTGTTTTCTTTTCAAAGAAAAGATCATGGGGACCTTGTTGGCTCAATATCACTCTCCTGGTATTGAACTTGACTTCTGAATTGGCCCACATAAGGTTCTTTTTAATCTTTGCCTTTGTACCTTTCCATCTCATACATTTGTTTTCTTTAATTTCATAAACAAGGCCAAATCATTTGACCAACCAAACAATAATTATTTTTTGAGTATTTGCTATGCATAAACTATCATGCTAAGTGAAAGCTAGCTTATTTTTTTTTTCTTGGATTATACAGATAGTTGTAATTGCTGAAGTCTGGAATATGAAGTTGAATACAACTTCTAGGAAATATGCCATTGATTTATGTAGTTTGGAAACAGTACTGTCATTTATGAAGTCCACTTTTCTAATTTCTATTTTGCTTTGCTGTCTAAGGTTATATCAAATTTTTATTCTCAAAGAAACGTCTTCGGATTACTAATGCATATTGTCTTTTACTGTTGTTCTCTGTGTATCTTTTTTATCTCTCCAACTAGACTTCTAAGTTCACTGAAGATAGGGGATGAAGGTGGTACCTTTCTGAAGCCAAATGAAACAAATATGGAGTACATATCTCAAGGAAATGTACAGGAATGCACATAAGAAAGAATGTGAAATCAATAACGTAGCCTTTATTTACATTTGGGAGTGAAGTTAGTTGTGTCTTAATCTTTTGATAAAACAAAAGTGACACCCTTGTATCTTTACTGAATATGATTGAGATTTTAATATCTCATTGTCCTACTATGTGAAAAATATTCCCTCCCTCTTCCTTGTTCTATCTCCTTTCTCCCTCTCCTCTTCTTTCCCCTCTCCCTCCCTTTATTTCTCTCTCTAACCCTTTCTCCCTGTTTTCCTCCTCTTTCCTCTCTCATCTCTCTCCTTCCTTTATTTGAAAGATAACTACCTCAAAGCCACAGTGAGGGATAATTATTGAATTATGTCAGTAAAATACTAGATAAAGAATACAACACTTGCTTAAGTCCATTTTATCTTTGCTAAATTACCTTTTATTTTTAATCCCCAAAAGGACAGACATGCTTTGAAAATACAGTGTGTGATATACATTCTAATGAGGTCTGTACAATTGTTCCTTACTATAACCAAGATATTCAGCTTCAAAGATATTAAAATAATTGAAAGTCTTTTAATAAAGCCAAGAAAGTAAGTATGCTCTTATCTTCCACTCCATGTGGAAGTTAAATATTACTTTTCTCAGAATAGGAGACGAGGGTGCAACAGCTTACCTTTGCAAGAGTGTTAACATTTTCTGGGCTGATGTGATGTATTTTAGTCAAGTGCATAGCCTAGTCTTTGTATTAAATTCCATACTCTTGGATATCTAGGAAAGGAGCACCTCAATGCCTTTGGAAGGTAAATTAAATTTTGTTTTTAAATTTGTAAGGTACCTGAATGAAAAATTAACTCAAAAGCAAAGTGTATGTGTTTCACCTGATAATTTAACTTATTACAAAAGATTAACCAAAAATCATTATATACTTAGAAAATAATTCTTTGTTTTTAATTTCTTGAAAGGAAAAAAAAAGCATTGCCTTTCTGGTTGTCTTGTTTAAGGCTAATATTAAAGTTAGCTTGCATTCCACTTACAAATACTTGCCTGATGTAGGAGAGTAGTGACCCAATCAAGCTAAATATGTTGTAAGCAAGGAAATAAGTCAGCAGCACATTAAACTATGTTAAATATGTTTGGACTAGCTTTAATAAGGAAGGTAAAATTTCGTGCCATTTCATTTGTTGAATGAGATCAATTCATGGATGACTTCTTTACGTGTGTTTTTAGTTTTATACTTTTGTGAGATTTTTAAATTAATAATGTTTGCAAGTTAAAAACATTTATTTATCATATATCCCCATTTTTGTTTTGAAAATATGGTAACCTTAATAAGTCCAGTGGTAGTAAGTTACAATGAGCAAAGAAAATATGACCGGATAACCCCAAAAGGTTTTGACAATTGATTTACTTAGATTTTTATGCAATAGAGAAAAATATTAAGCTAGATAGTCTCCTTATAATGAAAGCAGTCATCACTTGTGAGTCTGGTAGTCAAAATTAGGCCAATTTAAATCAAGACAATGCTCATTCTAGCCCTGGAGAGCTTAACTGCCACCACTACATAAGCATGAATGCAGCTTCTTGCTATCACATATAAATATCCCTCCTAATTGTATCCCTTCTGATATCGCCTACCTCCTATTTCATGAGGTTTGGAGACAAAACTTCCAATGGAAATTGCACTCTTCTTTTAGGTTGGTTTTAATTTTCTTCTGAATGTTCCCAAATAGGGCCTAGTCTCAGCAGCTCGGTTTCTCATAATTTAGCAATCAATATTTTTTCTTCACAAATAACTACCTTTTTTAAAAAAGGTCAAAACTTTAGCATAGAGAATGCTCCCAAAACTGTTCTTACAAGGTGTTAAGAAATAGACTGAAATCTCTTTCAAGGTCTTCAGAGGAAAGACCCATAGTTCATGCTAGGGGTCATATGACCTGGTTACCATAGCAATGATGGCAAAACCACCTTGGCATCACAGGCAATATGGCTTGCAGTAGTGGTTTGGCTTTAACATTCAGAGAACTTGAGTTTGAATGCTGACTTGAGCACTTACGACTGCTGTGACCTTGCAAAATTACTTAGAGTCTCTAAGTGTCTTTCTTCAGCTATAAAATGGGACTGTCTAGCTCATAAGCTTTATTATAAGAATTATGTTTGATGATATTTGATGAGAGATAGCACCCTGTCTGTTATTTTGTAGGGCTCCATCAACAGTTATTACCTCATTACAAAATTATGATAGAATGATTCACTGAACTTAAATAAAATAAATAAAAACAAATCATGGCTCTTGACACAAGCAATATTCTATCAACCCTCAGCTTACATTACAAATACAGAAAGTGTCCAGGACTCTCTAAGTAGGGTGTATTTAGCTAAAATGAACGAAAGATTCCAACTGTGTCTGTTCCAGTCCAGGAGGTTCCACTCTCAACACGACCTAGAACTTGCTCTTAGGTCAACACATGTTTGAAAGGCAGACTCTGCCTGGTAATTTTAGGAGAAACCTAAAAAAGTTGGTTCAATTTTCCTTCTAATATACTTCAAATGACCACCTAGACATAGGCTTTCTCTACTCTGGAAAACAATTCATTGTGAAGGTAAATTTGCTGGGACAACTGAGCTCACAGAATTTACCCTCCTTCACTGTAGGCATTCTATGATCCCTTGGGACTTAGAGTCAGGCCTCGTGTCAGCACTGCCATCTGCTTTTGTTTCAGGCACAAAACAGATGGGGCTTCTGGATGGGACAAGCTCCATAGTGGAAAGAGTGCCTGAAGCTTTGTGGCGTTCTCTGCAGGCAAGATTGCAAGATGGAAGTAAGAACCAAACCTCCTGATTCCACAGTACAGAAGTTTCTCCACTGAAGGATCCTTCTATAATTAAAAGCATCTGGTGCAGGCATGAAGGAGCTTCTCAAAGCTGCTTTATTTTATCACCTATCTTTAAATTTCATACATAAAATGGTAGTATGCAAAAGCCAGATGACATGATTCTACATCACACGGTTTCATTTTGTTTTTGCTGCCCCATTATTTGAACACTCTACTGGATTGCTAGAGAAACATAACCTCATCAAAATAATTTGCAGCAAACTTTAATTTTAATATATCTGTTTCAATGCAATATTTCATTCTTGCTATAGATATTAAACATTCTTTATAATACACTGTAACATGTCACAGACATCACTGATGTTTGCTCAAGAATGGCAAGAACACTGTGTCTGGTACAGTATTAAGATAAACTCAATGTATTTCATCTTCCCCGTGGATGGTAGATATCTTAATTGAAATGACCTGATAATGTTAAAGTGACAAGAAAAAATACACAGTGGGAAATGCAAATACAATAAAAGGTACACAGAGACGTTGCTCCCAATTTAACACACTTGAGAAAAAACTAATTTTTGACAGCACCTGTTATAAACAAAGCTACAGGCACAAAAATATAAAAATTTGGTCCATTGTTCTTAAAAACATTGCCTGTCATTCTCCCTTATTGCAACACAGATTAATTTCCTATAATTTTGCAAGTAGTCAGAGAATTCAAGGTGACTATGTCACCCCATATGAATAAGGGCAAAGATTCTCTTCTTTAGAGAGATTATATAAAGAAAACAATCTAACATTCTTCACTTACATGGAAGTACTTTGTGGAGGAACAATTAACTTGCTAAGTGGGTGTCTGCTTTGACTGAAAGATCAGGGCTATTTGAAGCAATAGCCCTGTAATTTGTTACATAAGCAGGTATTTAGGATAAGTCTTTTCAAATGCATATTGCTGTGTCAATGCATTGTTAAAAATACCAATAATAACATACACACCCCCAAAATAACACTTTCTCAGAACTGGAGCTGGCAGTTGCCTGGACCTCATTGGAGCTGTTTGCAAGAAAATACTGAGAGAGGTTCTGAAGGAATGGAATGGCACTCAGGGACAGGGCTACTCAATTGGAAAAATAAAGAGATCTCCCTAGTTTTAAAGGGCAATGACTCCTACCACTCTCTCCAACAGCAATTTGAACATGACCTCACAGCTATTGCTCATCCAGAACAGACAATAAGTATGAACCTGAGGGAGACATTAGAAAGGTCTTCTGTATCACCCTAAGGAATTTGGCATAGTGACCATTGAAAATCTTTAAAACTATCTGATGAGATATGTGTGTTAGAAGTTCTTTCTGGTAGCAAGCTTCTTTTGAAAGAAACCTCCTGGGCTGGAAAGTGTTCATGGCTTCTTGTTCTGAGTGGGAATTAGTCCCTGACTCCCTGGGCTAGAAGTCTTTCTTCCTGGCTGGCTGTGAGGTTTCTTTGTTCACTATATTTGATACTGGCTTCCTCATGGGAACTTCTTAGTCAACTGAAGCCTTTCATCTCAAACCCTTACTAACGATATGTTTTGCCAGCTTTGTCCATCTCCTTTTTGTTAACATGATTTTGCAGCAGACAATTTGGAATTTCAGTGGTCTCTTTGGGGAACTTAGGATCTCTTGAGAGTCATTCTTCTATGTCCTTTCCCTTCCCATCAACTTCTCTCCTCACCCTTCCTCTTACCACCTTCTTCTATATGTCCCCTTCAAACCCATCTCTGCCTCTATTCCTTTGCCAATTCCTGCCAGACCTTTCCCTTCACACTTTGGTTCCTTAGCTCCCTACATTCACTGGGGCTTTAGGTCCCCTATGCTCCACTGGAAGCTCTCAAGGGATTCAGGGTCTCTCAAAAACAACCACTTGAGACTGAAAGAGAAAACCATCTAATTGGAAATAGATTGGATCTTTCATCCACTCAGATGGGCTTTGGAGACACCTAGACAGCTGCTAGATGTACCCTCAGCCTAAAAGATAGTCCATAGCCTCCACAAGATTACATATTGGGGCAGACGAAAATATTAAAAATCTTCTTGATGATTATTCGTAAAAAGTTTTTGCTCTTATTGAGTACATAACCTCAATTTGTCCCATTTTTTTTTTTGGTAAGAAATACAATTCAGATAAAAAAGTAAAGTGGAGAAAAGATGAGAGCCAACTATTTTATATGAACCGGTAAGTTATATATTACTGTGTTCTACTGAGTCATGGCTAAAATTTTTGAATGAAAGCGATAAGATTTTTGTTTACATCTGTCTATATGTTTATGTATGTTTATACATGTGTATGTATATATGATATGTATATGTAATATTTTTCTTCTACATCCAGATAACACTACCAAATTAATTAATGGAATCCCTTTAAAAAGTTCTATTCAAATTGGCTAAGAGATAAATAAGTGCTTATTATAAATAAAATCTTCCTTAAACTCCCAGGAACATAAAAACTAACCCAAATGTTTTTTTCCAGTTCATGTGACTTTGGTAAAACATTGATAAATAAGATTAACTTAGTATTATTGGTTTAATGAAAACACTACATCTTTTAAATTGTCAGTATTACTATAACATAAACAAATTTTAATTCTGTTTGGGTTTACTAGGCAAATAAGGTTAAAAATAGGTAACAGGAAAATAGCTTGAGATGATGGGTAGCTTTGTGTAAAGTTATAATATGTCTACCTTAAAATTGTTTCCAAAATCTCTTGTTAACTTGCAACTTTAGAGTTATGCTAAGTAACAGATATTTATTATAAATCTAGATCATTTCTAACATAAACTACTGGAACATTCATTAATGAATATAAATTAAAGTTCATAAACTTTTGGCATCTTGTTTTCATATTGCATAGATAAGATAAATATATTTGGGTCTGTTGGTAAACATGAAGAATTGTACTATGAAGAAGTGTATGACTATGAGAAACCTGCAATGTTATATTAATAACATTTGTTAGTTTGCTATAGACTCCTAGTATGGGAAAGACAATTCACAACTGTCTACTTCCTAATTTTCTCTCAACATATGTAATCAAAACTACCAGAAATAATAAGGGTGAAGGAAAGTAACGTATATAAAAAGCAGGCAAGGAAACCAGGATGTGGTTTTTTTGTTCTGGTTTTTTGTTTTGTTTTGAGACAGTCTCGCTCTATTGCTCAGGCTGGGGTATAGTGGTGCGATCTCTGCTCACTATAACCCCGGCCTCCTAGGTTCAAGTGATTCTCGTGCCTCAGCCTCCCCAGTAGCTGAGATTACAGATGCACACTACTATGCCTGGCTAATTTTTGTATTTTTTTGTAAAGACAGGGTTTCGCATTGTTGGCCAGCCTGGTCTCGAACACCTAGCCTCAAGTGATCTGCCCACCTCGGCCTCCCAAAGTGCTAAGATTACAGGCATGAGTCACCACAATTGGCCTAGGATGTTTCTCTTTTGTTTTTTTTGATGAGAAAATATATGAGGTATGAAAGGTTTGATTTGGCTAAGGTTAAAAGTGAGTAATTTTGCTTTAAAGTAGAATGACTGGTTGTTCAAGAATAATAAAGAGGAAAAATACAGGACAAAAATTGAGTGGATATAAAAAAGTCATAGAAGGTCTGTGGAAAAGAAATCTTGAAAAAGGAATTTTATGTGTGATGAAGCTAGCTAAAATTTAAATGGATTCATTTATGTTTAAAGAAAGAAAAAAATTTTAAAGACAATATCAAAAGTGCACTGGTGCAAAACTACAATTTGTTTTTTTCTCTAAGTAACCGAGTATTTTTGGATTTTTTTGGTCTGTTCTTAATAAGAAATTAAAGGGCTTTCTTTACCCTTTAAATAATCTTCCTATAAATCAAAGATTTTGTGTCTTAGCAAAATAATTTCCCTTGCTTTGTGTCAACCTTTATCATGTTCTTGATTATTTAAGATAACCCAAATATTGTTCATAGTAATCTGACAACTCACCTAATCAAATATTTAAGGCTTTTGACATTTTTGATAAACTTTCCAAAAATTAAATTCTAAATGAAGTTCTTTTTTACCTCAAACTAACTTTGAGATTTCTCAGGTGGCCCCCAGAAAATCTCAAAGGATTTGCTCTTTCACTCTGTAAAATGAGATATTAAAAATAATTCAGTTATTTGTTATAATAAATTATATGGGAAGCACTGTCAAATAAGAATAATGTTAAATCTTCTTTATATGATGTTTGTATGACTACATGTTATTAATATGTGTTCCAGAAGTTCTATGAAATTCCTACAAACTTGATATGTGCTGGTATAATACTATCAATCATAATTCCGGTTACTGTTTTAAACATTACATGCCACAGAAATAACCAAATTTCCTTATCGGAAAATTCTCATCAGATTCTTAACCTGAACAATTTTAAATCTGTTGTCACTACAGATAGTTTTTTACTTTGATTTTTCTCTGAAAGCATTTGTAATCAATTCTAAGCCAAATGCTTCATCTTCAAAGAGATTTATAAAAAACTCTGACATATACAGTACTATGAAAGACAAATCTCTGATAACATTGAGACCATGCTACTGAAGTGAGAAAAAATTTCCACAACTAATGAAAAAACTGATGGATTGATAAAATTGTTAGCCCAATATCAAGCAGAACAAAAATTAATCATATGAAACTGAAAGAACTGATGAGGACAATTTTAATTCCTATGGCTTTTCTGCTTGAAATTTTGCTATTTTTAAATGTTAAATTTTCTAGACTTAAATAATCCCTTCCTTTTCTTTTAAGTTTCTATAATTTGTAGCCATTTAGTAAAATATGCCTTTGAGAAAAAAGGTGAAACGATTGCTTTTTCTCCCTATCTGATCTTTCCAGAATTCAGAAACGCTTATTGAGTGTTCTTATTTTTCATGGCAATACAGTTATTTGCATAAGTTCAAACAGAATCTGTTCTTCTGGACATAAGTAGAAACAATGGTTACATTACCAAGGTTTTGACTAGAGTATTATACTTGAAAATGATGCATAAAATCAGATATGACCACAGAGTTTTAAGAAACTAAGGTTGACTTTATGAAGCTAAAGCTTACAATGTCCCTTGAAAAGCCAAGGTAGTTGACTTACAGGGTTCCAGCATTACAAGTGAGTAAGGAATGTCACTTTCTGGTAGGCCCAGGAAAGTCAGAACATCTTAGAGACCTCAAGAAGAGAAGTTACCCAAATCTATAGGTACTACAGGTGAAGTCTGGCTTGGCTTCCTATCCTTGAGAGGATTTTAAAGTCTGATCTGAGATCCCTTATGAATATTACCCACCAAACTAAAAATAAAATAAATGAAATAAATAAATAAGAAAAAAAGGTCTATGTAGTCAATGACCACTTATTTTGCATTTATGTAAATAATCAGGCCATGTTTAATGAGACAAGACATATTTTGCAACTATATTAGTCTTGCTGTAATTTATTGTATTTGATAGAAACAAGGGTGACTGTAGAGAGAAAAATTATGTTTCCATGGAAAATTATGGCACACTTTTGAGGGTATTAAATTTTAGTCCTGTTTGCTATCTTTAAGCTTTTGTTATTTACCTGTAAACAGGACTAGATTCTGAATTCTACTTTTCTTGAATATCTGGCTACAACTCTTGAAACTAACATTCTAATTTTTATCCTACCTTCCTGACTTAGCACCACTAAAAATGAAAACAGCTCTCTTCCAGGATTTTGCAAGCTGAAGCTGGATTACTTGATATAAACTCCAAGTCAATCACCATCACAAATCATGTGTAGGCAACTTTCATGTCTGCTGCTGTGTAGGCCACTCAGAACATTCACCAGAATACCCAGTAATATCACTGAACAATTCAAACTGCAAGTCAGAAAATTTCTCAGGTTGTCACTGCCATCCTCACTCCATCATCCTCCACCATCTAATAAAATAAGTTTTTCTTTAACAAGAAATAAACTGCAGTGATACCAACCAAACATCTAGAAATCTTCTCTACTGACTGCCCTCTGAACTCAGAAACTGGGTTTCTAACTATTAATCTTTGTTTTTCTTTATTTTCATAGAAATATCCCTAATTAAATGGCTGACTGCTTGTACCATCCAGCAAATATTCTCTATTACGAAGTCCCAAAAGGTGACTCAGAAAGTCTTTAATGGATAAGACTATCTGATGAGAACAATGGACTTATGTTGTTCCAAGGAAAGGAGAATGTCTCTTTTCCTGAACAAAAGGCGAAACTGACAAAGATTCTTTGCTCAGGGAAACTTAAGTCAGGCTCCTGAACCTTCTCCTAGGCTAATCTGTGCACTTTCTTGTAAAATTCAATTTTAGCAAGACCCTTACCCCTACCCCTCCATTTCCCACCCCTTGATATCTAGTCTAATTCTAATCACATCTGGTTTCTCCTCTGCCACCATTCACCAGGTAATGTTTAAACATCCTAGTTTGCCTTCAGCAAGAATCCTATCATATCAGTTTAGCCAGAAGCCCCCTTATCCCTATGTTGCCTGTTAGTAATTTTTCATCCAGTGACCCACACCCTGCTCCTTGACTGTAAATTACCTTCTGCCCATGTTGTACTCAGCGTTGGGCCCAATCTCTCTCCCCTGCTGCAAGACCCCACTGCAGTGGTCCCTGCACCTATCACAATAGTGTCCCTCTGAGTAAAGAATAATTACTTTCTTTAACAAGTGTTAAGAATAATTTTTTCATTAACAGGATAAAAATGGCATAGGTTATCAGCTTACAGACTGTGGCTAAAGCCATACCTGTCCAGAGAGAGTGAAGAATGTGAGAATAGAAGCCGTGGGGGGAATCCATGGGAATAGGGAAAACACATTCGGGAAAATTCAGGGAGGCAAACAGTACTGCAAAATAGTAACACCTCTTGTATAGTCTCCATTGATGAAGCATTTCCCCAAAAATACATTAAACAAGGGATGGGAAAATATATTAAGCAGAGGAGAAATTCTAAGGGATGACAACCCATTTGCTGACATTTGTTTAAGTATCTCAGAATGATTTTTTTATAAGACATGGGCTTAAAATGCACTCATATTTTCCAATTCATTGAAATAAAAGTGATTCAGATCCTAAGAATAGTTTTCAGTCGGAATATGTTTTCGATGCCTAAAACACTGAATTCCCTCCAGTCAAGTTGAAGTTGCATCCTGTTCAACATTTGAGATGAAGGATTTGCCTTTTAATGGTAAATTTGCATTTTAATATAATGATGTACCCTCTGTCCTTGACATGGCTATTCTCCACAAACCCCAGGCATTTTTTTTTTGGATAATGTGCTCATTATAAAGCAATGACACATTGTAGAAAATTTATCTCAGATATTAAAAACTAGTTAAAAGAAAGTGTGTATGAAAAAAAAACATTCTTCTCTGCTGTGTGCAATATGAAGAAAATCCTTAGAGATGACCTCACAAATTTCCTGTTTCGTAGCCAGACATCTGTAAAGATGGAAATAGTCATAAAAAGAGTGGTGTTAGATTAGGTCATTGAATATGCTAAGAATTATTTGTAAAGAGTAGCTTGATTATTCAAGGCCACATGAGTCAGCAGTATACTGTAAGGAGAAAAATAGCTCGCTCTCTCTCTCCCTCTCTCTGTGTATGCGTGTGTGTGTGTGCGTGTGTATGTGTGTGTGTGTGTGTTTATGTAGTGGGAAGGGACATTTCCAAAATTCTAACTTAATATGACACAGCAACACTTTAAATAGACAGAAGCGAAATTAAGTAATCAAGAATTATAAAAATGAGCTCTTATTTACAAAGCAATAACATATTGTATTAAGAATATTTTGACAATACATTTTCTGGTTATAATAAAATGGACATGTTTTTAAGTTGTTCAATAAGTCCATTAAAGCTACAGTATTTCTGAGGAAACTTCAGAATTTTCTGTCAATTTATTTGCAAGGAAACTTTTTATCTGTGGCATACCAAGTTAGAATTGACATAATAATTTTTAAGAACATTAAACTGAAATAAATCTCTTTCCTCTAATGTCTTGTGGTAGTTTCTGAATCACTCCAATGACATTTGTCATTATTAAACGGCATTTTCATTATTTTTATTTCTCTACCTTTTTACTGGAAACTCCTTGAAGGTGGAATCGGTGTTTGATTTTGTTTTCTTTTGTTTTGCAATTGTCTACACTAAAGTAGCTCTCAAAATTTACTTATTGAACAAAGAGTTGTAAGCATCTTATCAGCTAAAAATATTTTTTTTAGAATTGTGTGTCTTTTCTGAACAGAAAAGGACAGGGTTATGATTATAAAAAGAAACCAATTGGTCTAATTTATACATGAAATTCAAAAATTTGAAATCAACTTATAGCCACTACAGTAAATCATCTCTCAAAGGTTACTCTGCTCAACCTCCTTCCAGTATCATGGGAAATCCCATTATCCTGAACTGTGTGGAGCCGGAATATTATAATTAAAGAATTTTTCACATTTATTTCTGTAGAGATTGCAAGAAGCTGAGAGTGAGAAGCCCTCTGGACCTCTGAAAAAAATGTGACAGTCTGTACTTTTTTCATCCTTTCTGGTAATCTTTGGAGCCTGATGTGCTCTTTCATCCCTAACTGTTAAGACCAACCATGTGAGCATCTGCCTCCATCCAAGTTCAGCAACAGGAGTGTCACTGTGGCTGCACCTCTCCATCTAGTGAGACCGGCCTTCCCCTTTTTTCCTTCAATGGACTTAGTGTGGAGTTTGTGGTGCTCACATTGCAAAAAACGCCCCAGGCCATATGTATGGCCTTTTTCACAGTGAATCTAGGCATTAAGAAATATTATACTTACTGAAAACTCTACATCCAGATGCATGGAGACTTGTAATACCAGTCATGACAATAGAAAAGAGCAAAACATGAAATTCACAGGCAGGTGGATGAAATTCAGGTAATTAATATTTTTTCTTCATGTCAAAAGGGTAGTTGGACCAACACTGAGTGTTTTTACATAGTTTCTGCCTTCTCTCAAACATCTTTTCCATTGATTTCAAGAGCCTGTGTTGGTCTTTTACTTGGGCCTGAAATTTTTACTACGAGATGCTATGATAATGTGTTAGACAATAGGGTTGGGAGCACCATTTTATGGAAAATTATTCTTAAGAATATTAATTCAGGAGGGAATTAATGAATAATTAAATTGGATGCTGTTTGCTTCTCATGAGCAGGGCAGTCCAGAGCAACAATCTGTTACCTTGGAAAGCACCTTCAGCAAGTCCCTGAAGTAACCATCCATAAAATAAACAGGTTTTGAAAAGTCAAACATAAGGATCCCTTAAAGAATTATGGCCCTAGTGGATACTATATTTTGTAGAAAATCCTGGGCCCCTGGATATTAGGGAAAAACAGGAAGTTTGGGTATACTGTAAGCTTTTGACTAAAATTACCTGTACAGTGTCTGTTGTGTGACAAATATAATAGTCATGTTTATTTTACAAGAAATGCAGGTACACATGACCTAAAATGACAGGTTTAGGTCTCAGTGATGGCCCATTTGGATAAGGAGAGATGTCTAAGGACAGTTATTACTGGGTGACTACATGTGGTTGTTCAGGTCGAACCTGATAAATGGGGCATTTGGGTGTGGGCCTTGACATGAGGAATTAGAAGTAGGGGCTAGATGTAAAGGTTGGCAGTTGACCGTTACTTCATTCTCTTAATTTCCTTGGAAAAAAATGAAGATTACCCAGGGACCATTTGGTTAATATCTTATAGAACAAGGCTGAGGGTGGAAAAACAATAAAATGGATCTTGGAGATAGTATTGTTGACATTTAAGTGAGAGTTAAATTCACCCAGAGTAATACTCAGGTTTTAATTTGTTTCACTGCTATTTCTTTTACTCCTGAGCCATGGCATACTACAGAATTTTCCAGATCTGCCAGCACTTCCATCGGATCTAATTACCACAAGCACCATATTTTATCAGAATAAACTCTCTTTGCAGCCAATGAAAATTTTGCTTTTCACTCCTTAATCTCCTCACTTCCTAAAAAATGATTAAGAGATAAAATGTCTTAAAGAAGTGACTAATAATAACATGCTGGATACAGGTATCTGAGCATAAGCTACCTCGTCAGGGACAGGGTGGTATCTTCCTTTCCAGAATCATTTGCTGCTACACACATTCTGCGTTCACTTCACCCTTCCGAAGAAGGGGCGGGGACATATTTCTCATAAGAGTTGAACCATTTCATCCTGATGCTCTATTATTCTTGTATACCAAAATGTATATCAAATGCAAAATGCTTTTTCTTTACTTTTGCGCTGAAATTATATTTTCCCCTTTTATTATTTGTGTAGTAGATGAATAAGGCTCTCTTTATTTTGCAGAGAAATACATTGAAATATTATGATTTTTCCTAGTCATATAATATACCATTGAAACACGTACTTGGAAGATGATAATACATCTAACAGCTCAGACTCTATTATTATAAATAATAACAAATTACAAAGATGAGTTGGGTCACTCTGAATTGGGAAAATCAATCTTCCAGAAGATTCTGGTATTTCACTCTGTTGCAGTGGTTTTCAAAGTGTTTTCCCTGGACCAACAGCCTCAACTCACCTGAGAACTTGGTAGAACTGCCAGTTCTCTGAATTATGATTCAGAAATTATGAATCAGAAATTATATTAAAAAATTATGAATCAGAAAAAGGGGATAGGGCCTACCAATAGCTGTTTTAATAAACTTGCAGTTGAGTCTGTTCTGACAAAGATTCTCTCCTTGAAGAAACTCTACTCAAGCTCTTCTGAGATCTTTTTTAACCAAGCCTTGGCTTTTGGATTTCCATGTTCATGTTTGCATTGTCCAATTTTAGCAAGAATCCTCCTAGGTCAGTTTAGACAGAATCCTTTATTCTCAGTATCTGATCACTTTCAATATCTGATCAGGTTCCTCATTCTGCATTATACCCCAGCTGATATCTACTAACCCTGGCCTGCCTTCAGCAGGAATCCTGTCAGCTCAGTTTAGCCAGAATCTCCCTTGCCACTGATGTTTCCTCTTAGTAATTTTCTAATCATAAACACCCGTCCTGCTCCTTGGCTATAAATTCGCACTTTCGTTGGTTGTATTCAGAGTTGAGCCTTATCTCTCTCCCCCACTGAAAAATCCCATTGCAGTGCTCCCTGTACTTACTAAGATCACCCCCTGAATAAACCCTGCCTTACATTCTTTAATGGTGTCATTGAATAACATTTTTTTTTTAACAGATACACCCTCGAGCTTGAGAATCACTGTCCTAGAGCTTCCTCCAGTGCTTGCAATGTCATCTCAGTGGTATTAGGTCAAATTTCACACCAGGAAAATGGCAAAAAGTTTAATTTTTTTTCACTTCCGAGAAATTAAGTATGTGTGTATAAGCAGAGAGATACTTAAGCGAAGAGTTTCAAGAGAAATACAATTTGCAAAGACAAAGAGTTGATGTTACCAAGCCAGACTAAGGTCATGCATAGCCAGGACAAAAGGTCAAAGTGCTCAGGTGAGGGAGCAGAAAATTACAGTAGTGCCCCTCATCCACAGTTTCACATTGTGCAGTTTCAGTTTCCTGTGGTCAAGTATGGTTTGAAAGTATTAAAATGGAAAACTCCAGGAATAACTAATTCATAAGTTTTAAGTTGCAAAACCTCCTGAGTAGTGTGATGAAATCTCATGCTGTCCTACACCATAAAATCCCAGATGTGAATCCTCCCTTTGTCCAGAGAAACCACACTGTAGATGCTTTCTACCCATTAGTCATTTAGTAGCTGCCACAGTTATCAGAAATTCTGTTGTGGTACTGCAGTACTTGTGTTCAAGGAACCGTTACTTAATTATACCTCAAAACACAAGAGTAGGGATGCTGGCAACTCCAATATGCCAAAAGGAACCCACAAAGTGCTTTCTTAAAGACAATAGGTGAAAGTTGTTAATAAGAAAAGAAAAAAGTCACATGCTAAGGTCTCTAAGATCTACAATTAAGAACCAATTTTCTATTCATGAAATTGTGAGAAAGGAAGAAAATTAGGTTAATTTTGCTGTGGCACCTCACACTGTAAGTTACTGCCACTGTGCCTGATAAGGGATTAGTTAAGATGGAAAAGTCATTACATTTGTGAGTGGAAGACATGAACAGAAAATGCATTCTATTGATGGCAACTTGTTGTTCTTCAGCAAGGGATCCCCTGAAGATGAGTGACACCAAGCCATTTACTGCAAGTAAAGGATGGTTACACAGACTTAGGAATACAGAAGATCAGTAGTAGCCTAAGTCTCTGTCACAATGACTGTGCAATTCACCTCACTTCATCTCATCATGTAGGCATTGTATTATCTCACGTCATGACTAGAGAGTGAGTATAGTGTAAGATATTTTGAGAGAGAGAGAGCATATTATCAAAGCTTTTACTACAGTATATTGTTATCATTGTTCTCTTTTATTATTAGTTATTGTCAATATATTATTGTGCCTCACATATAAACTAAACTTTATCATAGGTATGTATGTGTAGGAAAAAACAGTATATACAGGGTTTGGTACTGTCTGACGTTTCATGCATCCACTGGAGTCTTGGACTGCATCCCTTGTGGATAAGCGGGAACTACTGTACTTAAAGTTGACATGCTTACACCGAAGCAGTGTAGAGGCACATAAACTCTAGAAGCCAAGGTTCCCTTTTATTAGAAAGGAAGTATGCACAGATTTGTGTCTTTCCTTCTTTTTTAAATCTCATTTTGATCAAGCTTAGGCTTAGTCAGACATGCACTGTGAACTTCAGAAAGGAAGACTTCAAAAGTTGAAAAGAAGTTGACAGAATTTATGACATGTAACTCATAACAGAAAAAGAAAGATCAAAGATTTGAAAAGTCTCAAAAACATCACTCAGACTATGTAAACAGAAGTAATTCCATCGAGGGAAGAAAAGGGGAAGAGCCTATAGAAAATGAGGTGGCACACAGTATTCTCCAATGAGCTTAACTTTTAAAAGAAAAGGTCAAAATAATAAAAAGAGTAAGATGATTTAAAAGACCTTCACGAATCCATAAGAATAGTGTTCAGAAGGCTAACTTTAAAATGAGCCACCAAATGCTAAAAGTAAAAAAAAAAAAAAAAGTTCCTTTTATTTGTTATTGTTGAGGTTTGATTTGTTTTGTTTATCTTTGTTCAGATAAAAAAAAATCATAGAAGAAATAAGCCCACTGTTCTGGCCTAGTAATGTCACTCTCGGTGGCTGACCAAAAAGAAAAAATAAAGACTAAAACTAATACTTAGTTTCTGTTTCCTCTTTCAGTGAGAATGAAGGGGTAACTTAGGGAAAAAGGAATTGAAACTGAGGAAGGAATAGAAGATGATGAAAACATTGTCGAATGATGCCTTTAAATTATCCGTGTCTCCTGACCGGGGTTAATTACCACCCACTGTTCTAAGAGAAAGTGAGGAGACTGAGCTGCCTATGGTGATGATGCAGCCACAGAAAACAGGAGTACCAGAGCCCTGGGGATGGGCAAATGTAATTTGGGTTCTAAGGAAAGGAAGAAAGTGAATCTCTAGAGGCTGCATGTGGCAGCTCATGCCTGTAATCCCAGCACTTTGGGAGGCCGAGGCGGGCAGATCACTTGAGGTCAGAAGTTTGAAACCAGACTGGCAAACATGGTGAAACCCCATCTCTACTTAAAAAAAAAAATTAGCTAGGTGTGGTGGTGCCCACTGTAATCCCAGCTACTCGGGAGGCTGAGGCATAAGAATCGCTTGAACCCGGGAGACAGAGGTTGCAGTGAGCCAAGATCATGGCACTGCATTTGAGCCAAGATCATGGCACTGCATTCCAGCCTGGGCGACAAGAGTAAGTCTGTCTCAAAAAAAAAAAAAAAAAAGTGAATTTCTAACCTGAGTTTATAAGGATTGATGTTGATTTAAGGCATGATATTTCAAGGAGTGGTGAGTAAGAAATTAACACAAGAGACTGGGATAATGAAAAGATGGTGTGAGCTGTGGTTTCTATTTTCTTTTGTTTTCAAATAGAGCCACAGGTTGATTTATCAAAGAATTATAGAGAACCCAGTGCACCTGGACTTCGTCAAGACAACATCTGAAAAGGTTTGTTATGGACAATGATAAGATTCTTACTTATTCTGTAGGTGTGAATATAAATTGGCAGAACCACTTTGAGAAACCTTTGGAATTATCAGATAAAGGTAAAAATGCAGAGACTCCATGATTCTGAGATTACTCTCTTAGCTGGGGAGCCTGGACAAATTTTAGCATACATGCACTTGGAGACAGGCACAAAAATGTTTATGGCAGTATTATCTACAGTGGCCCCAAAGAGCAGACAATGCAAATGCCCATGAACTTTAGAGTAGATAAATTGTGAAATTACCCCTCAATGAAATGCTATAACATAAAAGGAAAGGAACCAATAAGGCTAAGCAAATCAATATGGATAAATCACACAAATAGAAGGTTGAGTCCGATTAGCAAGGAACATATACTATAGAATTCCATTTATATAATGTTCAAAAATAGGAAAAACAGGATCATCTTATTTAGGATTCAATGCTTATCTGAAAAAACTATAAAAGAAAATAAGGGAAAGAGATGGTCACTAAAGTCATACTTCCTTGGTTATTAACACTGGAGAGGAGGTGAAAGTATGTTTCTGGGGACAGATGCCAGAGAGATACTGAGCTACTGGCAGTGATTTATGTTTTAACCTTGGTGGTGTTTACATGGGTGTTTGCTTGATAATTATCCTTTAAACTATACCTATTTCTTTTATGTATTCTCCTGTATGTATGATGTATTACACAATTAAAATGCTAGAGGAAATTTCTCATGGTATTACTGTGGAAAAGGTAGAGAAAAAATACTTTGGGTGATGATATTCAATTAGATGAATTTGAAATGTGTAATAATATGTGGACTTAGGTACTTAGATTAGGCTTGAGTTTTTTCAGAGGAATATTGAAGGTCTCTGTCCCCAACCTTGTTCATTGCTTCCATGAACACTTTTTATCAAGGACTCAGATGAATATGTGATATTTACATATGATATCATATTTGAAGCTTATATGAAAATTGGATGAGTATAGTCCTGGCCAGTTCTTCTCAGACTTTTGTGTACAGAAGAAAAACCTGGGAAGCTTGTGGAAATGCAGATTCTGATTCAATAAGTCTGAGATGGGGCCCAAGACTCTGCATTTCTAACAGGCTCAAGGTTATGCTGATGCTGCCGATTAGTGGATGTCACTTTGAACAGCAAGAGAATGGGCAACCTTTAAGGTCATTCCCAATCCTAAAACTTTATGACGCTATGATTCTAATTCTTAGTTTAGGTACATGCATGAGTTAATCTCATACTACTAAGGCCATGCCACACTGGGTAATAAGGTTGGTCTATCAATCCAAGGAGGCTGATTTCCCTCTTATTCTATATTCTTGTTACATCTTTGTTGATATTTTTCCATCTTTATTTATAGTGACTATTTTCTCCTATTGTGAAGTGCAATAATGGATCCCTGGCAAGTGTTCATCCTAACTTTTTCCTTATAACAAGTGGAGCTACAGGAAGCATAGTCACCATGGTCCAGAGGCAATTTCCTCCCTCCCTCAGTGAAACACCTACTATAAGTCAGTTTTTGCCTCAGAGGAGTCAGAAAGAAAGGAAAAAAAAAAATGTCTGGTGCATCCTATTTCCTAGCTCCCACAATGAGGGTTTAAAATCATCAGTTGTAAATTTGAAGGCCAAAAGGGTGGTTCTATATTACGAACAAGGAGTATTTTTTTATGAACAACTTTAGAGCATGGTAGAGGTATTAAGAAAGAGAAAAAGTAAAAACTATGTATTAAGTGTCAACTATATGCCAGATGGTGCTTTCCTATGTTTTAATGCCTCAACAATTCTGTGAAATGGATACTATTAGTATTCACATTTTACAGAGAGAAGTCAAGAGGCTGTTCAAGACAACATATCTCATAATGGATGGAGTTAAGACTAGAAGCCAACTAGAAGATTGGTCTAACTTCCAAGAGCAATCTTCCTATTGACCCATCACACTGCCTCAGTGCAGCACCTACAAAGACGTAAAATCTCATTTTGGTGAAGCATGGATTTGAAGTACCAAGTATTTTATTGTATTCAGAGATGTCTTCAAAATTGCATCGTTAATATATACATTATATATATAATCCATGGTAATGATTACGGCAGTTCCATTTTGAATATCATGTTTTAACTAAAATCCAAATATTCAGTAAGTATAAATTACCAGTTTCTTTGGATTACAGTGAGATGAGCTTTGTTTCCTAAATAAACTTAGCAGTGACAAGTTCAGTTGAGTGAGCAAACTGATTTAGACCACAGAATTGAGAGAAAGTGGACCTCCACCCAGGTGAGAATGTAATTTGACTCTCAATTTTCACAAAGAAACATCAGTCCTGCTACCACCTCTTGTAGTTTCTGACCATGTTCACTTTCCCTTACTTAGTAATATAGGACATCAGCTCTTTAGTTCCCTATCAAATAACCCAACTTCAAACACTCAGAAATCCAACTCTAACCAAATGTTTATCTAAATAAAGTAACACTTGGTAAAGACTACCTAAGGAACATGTTGTCCATTGACTCTGTGGACTATGTTAAAATCTCTCCTCAGTACCAGTTTGAACATGAGAGGTCTACACACCTAACTATATCATTTAGCCCTCTCACAGAACTTCCATCATTAAAGTGTTTTAATTCAGCACTCTCAACTTTTATCACAGGTTACTGATCGCCGCAGTTATGTGCAAATTTCCTCTGTGCTTGCTAAAGATGTTATTGAGATTATTGTCCGGTATGTCAACTCTTCAAGATTCAGCAATAAGAAAAACTAGTAGCCCCCTTACTTCCTGTTGAGAGGGTCATGCATTTTTTTGTTTTATTTTTTTAATTTGATCGCTTAACATCCAGAAAACTGACCTGAATTTGAAGTTTAACCGTAATTGCTAGAATACATGTAGTCACATCTTTATTTTCTTTTTTACTCTCTTTTTCTTATCTTTTAAAAAGCTATCTGAAATTATTTGTGAATGTTTATATAACTAGTAAAAAAAATTAAAAGTGTTTGGATTGCTGGAAGAAAGAGCTGCTCATTGCAAAATTTCTTTGCTGACTGCTATAGTTTAAGACATGCACAGAAGCATATTGACAAATTAATTAGAATCTTGGCACTCAAGGTCATAACTGCAGAAAACAAACAGACTAGCCTCCTCTATTTTAAAGTTCACAAGCTGAATGGTGGGAGATATTACAAAAGGCCAATGATACACTGTTAGACACAAATGCTTTGTTCTCTTCACATTGATTAACTCCAAGAAAAGAGAAAGACTCCCCACCCTTTCTTTAATCCTTTGGCTTCCTGTCACCACTCACGTTGAGCAATTATTAATCGAAATCCAAGCCCCCAAACAGGTGATTTCTACATAGCTTCCTATCAGGCAGTGTGCAGACAGGCAAACACCATAAGCAGTCAAAAGATTTATGTTTAAGCCTATTCTTTTTCAGCTTTGTGTCCTTGGAGAAATCACTTTCTTCCAGAAATATTAGTTATTTAATCTTCAAAATAAGGATCTAAAGGCAAATGCAATACAACACAATATAATACAGGGCACCTCCATGCAAAATGCAATAGAAATATAAGCTTCAATTTATGTCTGGTGAAAATGTCCCCTGCTCCCAATAAAATAAGTCTTTCACAGAGGCTGAAAGGTGTGATAGAAATATCAGTTCAGCATTCTGAACAGAGAAACGGATCAGAATGCCCTTTCCAACCAAGACGCTGACCCAATTTTATTATTCAAGATGCTGTTTGCTTGACCAATAGTTTGGTCAACTTTCCCAGGCCACTGCATTGCAGTTTTCTTATTTTTCTACCCTGCAGTTCTTTCTATTCTGCAGTTTCTAGGTCTTGCTTTAGTCAAAACATTAGGCAGACATCTGATATTGAAAACTGAATAAATATTACATCTATCAATAAGGTGATTAATCAGAAACTACTGCCAACAAAATCCAGCACCTCAGACTGTTACCTGACTTCTCCCATTGCCTTAATTTTTACCTAGGAATAGTAGCCAAAAAGAAAGAGCCAAAGCAAGGTCTGCTCAGATTTCTGATGAATCTTTGTGATCTTGGGTCTAGTCCCCAGCTAATGTATCAAACGTAATCTGTTGGATTTCCATTCTGTACAGAACAGAGAGACAGTATCGGTGACTATGTTGATAATACTGGGGAACAAACATTAGAGCTGGGAGAAATGAGAGAAACACAGTGCATTTGAAAAAGGCTCAAACACACACACAAACCAATGTATTAAATATATTCACTGCTAGAAGGTATGAACATACCTTTAATATGGAGAAATACACAAAAGTATTTCAGTAAATTTCCACATCGATTCTAAGACTTCCCAGAATGGTTTTTCAACAAATCTAACCTTCTTCTCCAAACTGTTCTCTTCTGTATTTACAATATTAGTAATGTCCAGATGTCAATCTGAAACATACACCTCATAGAATTACTAGAGAATTATTATTCACTCCCTATAAAATACTTAATTATTTTTATGCTGAAAGGCAGCGTTTTTTTGACTTTCAAAATCAAGACTGTAATTTAGAATGTTAAGATTCTGTTATCTCACTATTTTTTATCTTAATCTCAAAGTTTTACCTTAAGTACATTTGCCCTTTCTGCAAATTTCTTTATTTTTAGTTTAAGTCATTTGCTATAATGCATTTTCTTTGTAACAGCAAAGCATGGATACAGTCTCAAACCCAAAAATGTTATCGCTCCTTAAATTCAAATGCCTGTGCTTGCTGTTCTGACTATGTACAATGTCTCTAAGAAATGCCACCAAAAATAGGTGCCAAGCTCATTGCAATATTCAAAAATTAAAAACATGCTTCCAGATGCCAAGTATTTATAAAAGTGAGGCTGTCTGCCTCCTGGAGGGGATAAAGCTTATCAGATGCACTGTAAAAGTTATACAGAATTCTAGCAGATCTTAAGACAAGATGCTATTTAACCTGGAGGCAGAAGCAGAGAGTTTTCAGGTTTAGACCCTTGATCCAAAATCTAAAGTAAAATTGCCTGCAGTATATGAGAATTAGAACGTAAAAACTGTGAAGTTTGCGGGGAAGAATAGGAGAAATGAATAAGAATAGGAACCTTGTTTTTCCCAATTGATCCTCATTACAGGACCCAGTGAAATTCTTATTTTATGAATTCTTTCCTGAGACTGGTGGGGGTTGTTGAAAGCTGCTGTTTTGTGTATTTTCATTAATATTTTAATTTTTGTACTTGCATCCTAAGGCAGTTTCATGAACTGAGCAATTTTTTTGCATGAAAGAGGAAGAATCTGACATTTTCTACTCCCTCCTGTCAGAAAGTTTTGACACACCATGAGGGTATTCTGCTGTTATCTGGAACTACATTCTTTTCATCCAGTCTTTTAGTGTCCACAAATTACTTCCAAATTGAGTGCAAGTATGTAATAGAAACTTGTAATACATTTGTCTATTTTTTTCTTTGTAGATCTGAGTCTTCCAGTCGAAGTGCAGTTGTAGATGCAACATTTTGAAGACAGAAAGAAAACAGATTTACAGCGCAAACTTGGAGCTGAGGGTATCTGTTTTCCAGTAGAAGAAAAACATTATTTATCATTTTGAAAAAAATAATGATTGAGTGACACTGTGTTTTTTAATATAAAGTGGGGGTTGGCAATGTACAGCCCACCAAACAAACCTGGCCCTTGCCAGTTTTTCTTTTAAATAAAGTCTTAATGGCACACAGCCATGCTCATTTGCTTATGCAGTTTACTGACACTTGGCCTAGAGCATGAAAAACAGGTATTGGTATGCTCCAATTTTATTTATTCCCACTTTTTTATCATGCTAAGAATCCTCTTTTATTGAAATGAATAAGATAGGAATTTTGAGGTTTAAATCTCCAAATATTTTTGGCATGGATTCCAAATAATGAAGTCCTCAAAATCCTGTCAAACAGCATTCATACCATTGAACTTCAATGGAATAGCACCATAAGATTTAGAGGCTACAATTCTAGGTAGAATTTGCAAGCCGAATTTATATCTTAGTGTTTCCACATCAAACCTTTGAAAGATTATGCAATCCCACACATTACAGAATATGCCCCATTTCTTATAGAAATACAACTGCCACCTATGCCTCCAGACCTTTTATGACAGCCCTTCCATCTCTGCCACAATGGTTATTATAAGTTGTCAACTCTGCATATCATCCCTACATCAATCACAGGAGGAGAGGAAGATCCTCAAGATTTTACCCCTCTGGCTCCAGTCGGCCCTGCATCTAAATTGTCCAGGAGAGACAACTGCATGCTGTACTTCTAAAAATATGTTTTGTGGAGTGATTAATTTTTACTAACAACCTTTAGAATTAGAAAGTTTTCTTTGGCCTAATCCTTTACTATGGTTTGATTCCATTCTCTCCTCTAACAGCAGAGGTGAGAAATAGAGTAATTCCTTGATCACATTTAAAAGTGTTTGAGTCGTAATATTTCTAACATCTCAGGTTTTGATTATTCTAGCAATGCCTCTACCCACAAAAGATGGCTCATTTTCATTCTTCTTTTTCATAAGGTGACAACAGATGCCTAGCACTCCCCCTTTAGAGACCTCTATGGTTTTGTTGAATTTATTTTTATTTATTGTTCTTCCCTTCAGAGCATAAGAGCTAATATTTACTCATTTCTTATTTTGTTGTAGACACTGAAAAGCATGTCTCATTTCAGTCCTTCCAGTGATGTATAGGATATTTCCTGTAATTATCCCCATTTTAAAATAAGAAAGCAAAGGCTTGGAGATAACATCATTTATTCAATATCACACAGCTATAAAGTAACAAGGCCAGGATGCAATTCCAAGTTGGTCTGATTCCAGAGATTTTTTTTTTCTTTTTTTTTTTTCCCACTCAGCTCTGCAGCTTTGAGTACAGAGATTGACTTTAACGCATCTTCATTCCCTCAGGGTCCAGCATAGGTTCAAGTATATAAGGGATCCTCACTGAAATGTTTGTTGAATAAATCAATGGCTAAACAAATTTTTAACAAGGTGTTTAAAATCCATATCAAGAATATTAGCTATATTCTTAACACTTGCCATGTCTTGGTATAAGCTGTGACTTTGCCAGCTTCTTTACTTAACAATTTGTTGGAACTAGATATTCAGACATCCAGTGAAAAAGGAAAATTGGAGAGTAAATACCAGGGGACAAATGAATGTAAGTTACTTAGGAGAACAAATCAGAAAATAATCCTAAAACTTGCTATCTCTGAACGAGTTTACTTTAGCTAATTTTTAATGTCATTCCTTCATGGTTAAGACCTTTTCATTGTATATTGTTGGGCCACTGATTCCCAGACATTTGCCCACATTTAAGTCTTCTTACATCACTCATTCGTATTGGAGCTGCTCCTTTATGGAAACAAAATAACTGAAGATGCAAGTAGCTTTTGGGGGAAGCACTGTTCCTATGAAGCTTTTTGAGTGAATTCTCCCAGTCTCCTCTTAATAGGATTCTGATAGAATTAGAAGTGTCAGTTATAGTCTCAGTACCATGACTTCAGTTTAAATTGAATGAATATATATTCAATTAATAGGATGGATTGATTATTTTCTACCTTTTAATGTTAGTTATAAACAACTGTTTGAAATGTATTATCTATATTACTTCCATGGACCCTTATTTTAAACTTCTTCAGCAATTTCAGTTTTTATTCTATATAATTCTAAACTTACTGATATTATTTTGGAACAGCTTTCTCAATTGTTCTGACTTTTAAGAGGTCCTGCAGTTTGTTTAATAATACATATCTTGTCCTGCAGTATAACATCTAATTTATTATACAACTTGTCAATTTTCAAATAAAATAAAATGCACATAAAATAAAGTTTCCCCAGGAAGAAATATTTGAAACGTATTAAAATTGAGGCTTGTTTTAATTAAGTTGTTCCTCTTTGGGGCATATTAAAACAATCTGGGTTATTAAGAAGCTATAAGTAGATCAGGTTATATTCCTAACTTCTAAATGTTTTCTGAAGAAAACATCATGAAGGAAAAAACAGTGTGGATGCTCATAACACCTCCTCTGACACCACTGTCATAAACTGAATATTGCTTGCAATGTCTTGGATTCACTATGAGAGCCTGAATATTGGGTTGCCTGGCCCATAGGTCCAATCACCAGAATGATTTTTTCCCCCTTTGTTCTTATGAGATGAGAATAAAGTTTAATAAATGAACCAAAACTGAGATGTTATTTGGTAGAACTCTCTCCCTTCCCTTCTCTTGTTCTAATGACTGTAGTGTTTTTTTCAAGAGAATATAGCTGTTACAAACCACTCCTGGCCAGCTTCCAGTTAGGAAATTCAATTTTTATCTATTTATATACCCCAAGAAAATCCCCCTCTAATTATCACTTAGAAACTTGCATTGCTTTGATAACCACAATGGTTGCACATAGACTTCTATTACTACCTTTTACTTTTCTCTGCATTTACTCTCAGTGGACCTAAATGCAAAACTACATAGCTGGACCAATGAAAAAATGTGTTTGATTGTTTATGTCTTATAGAGTCAACCAGTTAGGCAGCACATATCAAAACATAATGATTTTTGAGATCATTCAGCATTGTAAATTCTCATGAGAGCCCCATAATCAATGCAACTTGGTTTAACTGAGCTGCTATGGACTGTTTATCTCTCCCCAAAATTAGTATATTGAGATCCTAATCCCCAATGTGATGCTATTTGAAGGTGGGGCCTTTGGGAAGTGACTAGGTAATCTGGGTGGAGTCCTCACAAATGAGATTAGTGTTTTTATTAAAGAGCCCCAGAAGGCTCCCTTGCCCCTTCTATCATGTGAGGACAGAGAGAGAAAAGAGCAGTCTATGCACCAGGGGCTGGGGCCCACATCAGACCATGAATATGATAGTGCCTTGGTCTTGATTTTTCAAACTCCACAACTGTGCGAAATAAATCTTCGTTGTTTAAGTCATTCTGTCTATGGTATTTTTGTTACAGCAGCCTGATATGACTAAGATAAGAGCATACAAATGTAATAGTACACATAAGAATTCTCTCACATATGAAAATGGATATTGTGTCCTTAAGATATAAAATAAGCATTCTAGTAAAAAAAAAAAAAAAAAAAACCCTTTCATGGAACAGAAATAGAAGTTCTAAGATTACTAGTTACCTGAAAAAGGGGTAATGAACTGTTGTGAAACACTGTTGAAGAAGCTGAGCATTTTGGAGAATTTAATGTGGTTTCCAGGGTTGTATGAAAATGCTAGATGCACTTAAAGCAGGTACTAGGAAAATTTGGCCTAAAATAGATTATGCAATAAATAGCCAAATGTGAGAATAGAAATTTTAATGAGAAATATTTATCATCAAGCAGTCATTCAAATGTCATCTATTTTCTACTAACTGCAATTGAGCAGGTGGTTCCCCATTTTCCATGATTATCTTCTAATCTCTGGGGAAAATATTTTTTAGAAAGTTCAAAATACTTCACTTGAAAAATGAACTGTCTGCATGAGAGACATATAACAGGCTGATTTTGTTTAACTGAGTTTCACAAAACTCTCTCAGGGCAACCTATCTTTCCTATGTTGCCAAAATGGGGAAAAATCAAGTTAGCAAATAACATTTTTTCTACAGCTTCCCCTAAGGCTGTGGAGGATGGCCTCTGTGATTTAGTAGGCCTTTTCCCTCCTTTGTGCCAGTGACTAGGTTTTGCAGTATTACTGAGGATTTAGCATCTCAGCTCGCTGTTTCTGACTCTCCAAAATGAGGAAGATGAATTATTTAACATCCAGGAAGCACCAGCTGTGTTCTCTCCTAAATGCTGAGCTTCCCAGACCAACAGGATTTACAATTGAAATAGGTTTCTAATCTAAATAGGACTACAACTTTCACAAGTGAACAAGGTTAGAGAGTTTTTCCTCAGTGGAGAATATATTTTAGTGAGTGTTTCTTAGTGGCTTTCACTGGGAATCCTAGAAATTCTTCAGAGAGTAGAGTCTGGCTTCCTGCCAAGTGGCCTGTGTACTTTTGACATGGAAGGCACACATTCTGAGACCACTGAAGAAGATGATTGACAACATTCACTGTGAGGGATTTAGATGAGGTACAAAGACGATTTTCTTGATGGCTTGTGGGCAGAGAAATCTGTGAGAACTATTTCACTCAATGTTCATAGATCCAGAGCAGTGGTTCTCAACAGGAGGCAATTTTGTGCCTCAGGGGACACTTGGCAATGTTTGGAGACTTTGTTTTTGTTTTTCACGACTTGGGGGAGGAGGAGGATGCTACTAGCATCTAGAGGGTGGAGGCCAGGAATGCTACTAAACATCCCACAATGCACAGGGCAATCTCACAACAAAGAATCATCTGGCCCCAAATAGTGCCAAGGTCAAGAAACCCTGACCTAGAGAACTTACACATGTTTCGAGTTCTCTGAAATATTGAAATACTTGAGGGTCCTACATTGGGCTGTTCCAAGGTGGCTTTCTGTGTCTTTAATTAGCCTACCTTGCCTAGCTCTCAAGACTAAAATAATGCACTCATGTGTTTAATGAGGATAAAAATGTTGATTTACTACCCAAGTGAGCATGCTCTAAAGACTGGTTCTTCTTTTGTGCAAAGTGTTCTTGCATTTCTCCACCTGATTCCAACCTTTGTTTTTGGAATGAGCTCAAATCTCACTTCATCCTAAAAGCCTTGGGGAAAGATAAAGGTGATCCATTTTTCCTCTAAACTCCTATCCATAGCAAGTAGTGCTTGCATCCATCATTAGGCCTTTACTGCCTTGTAGACTCTCTGTATATATGTGACATGTGAACTACATCGTAAATTCTTTGCTGGTTGAGCTACTATTTCATACTGCTTTGGTAACACACAATCTATTACTATCAGTAAGGACTCCATAAATGTTTATTCACCATATCTTCAATATTTTGGGTACTCTCAGAGTAGTCATTATTAAATAAGATAAGAAAAACTTTGGCTACCAGTTTCCCCCAGTCAAAATTTGTGGCAGAAAGACCTCAATGTAAAACTACATCAAATATGTTTCTGTTTACGTTGGCTTCTATTCTACAAAGCCAAGTTGTGTTTTTCGATTTCTAGCCTGTTAATGAAAACTAGGTATCAACATGGCTTATTAAGAAAAGAAGAATTATGTAAGGTCATTCTACATTGTTAATAGAAAAAGGAATAATGGAACATCATAATAAAGAGAAATAGTTTTATAATAGAGAAGTGTCACGATATTAGTCAGGTTTATTAGGGCTTCAGATGAGTCTTCCAAGAAAAGTGGCAGAAATTCGATCAATTACATGATGTGCACATAAATTGAACTTAATAAAACTGACTAAATTCCTTCTGGAAAAAATGCTATAGGGAATATACTTTTATTAGTTCTAAGTGAGAATGAATTTGATGATACAGTAAATCCTTTTCCACTTTTAATCTTGAGTTTCCCATGAAAAATATCAAAAACAACTTTAGATATATTATGGACAACGAAACTGAAGACTGAGGGAACTATATGGCTGGTCAATGCTTTAGGAATGAGTAAGAATGTAGGTGCTACAGTAGGAATACTGGATCCATCCAATCTGAGTGGACTTTAACAAGTTACTTAACTATCTGTGCCTCAGTTTTCTCACTGTAAAAATGAGAATAATATAGTGCTCTAAGGGCTGTTGGTGACAACCAAATAAATTCATGCACATTATTTGGAGCAGGTCCTGTTCCAAATGACATGGAGCATTTGGTCCATTGAGCACACACCACCATTACATGGTGGAACTGCTCCCATAGATCCATATCAGATGAGACTTGACCTATCCCTGTCTTCAAAAAATTTAAAGAAAGAGACTTCCCAACCTGAAGTCTTACTGTGTGTGCATTAAAGGAAACAAAATACAGAGCCAAATAATTACTGAGATAACTAAAACAAAAGTGCTGTCATAGGACAGTCAGATAACAATATCTAGATTTTCTATTCATGATAATTGAATTAATTGGGCAGTTGTGTAATGCTGTACTTCACTTTGCTAGTACAAAATAATCCTTAAGAAAAAAGAGAAAAATGCACATTTTCATTTTATATTTCTTAACACAGAGACTTGGAGTCCTACAATTTGTAGATGAACATCAATTCTCAGGAACACACAGCAAACAACCTTTCAATCAGTAAACTGTGAGATAACATTTGTTGATTATTTTTAATCAACAAATTTTAAAGATTTAATGATTTAAAGATTTAATATGACCTTTTATAAAGGTATAAAAATTACTCCCCCTTTGTTTAATGGGAATAAAAATGCTGATAAATCACCCAAATAGGCATGAAGTCAGAATGTTTATTAAATCAGGTATTACCCAAAACAAAAGTAGGAATTAAGTCTTTGTTCTTAGTCCTTATTAAAAATGCTCAACATCTTAGCTATAGTTACTTCATAATTTTACCATCTTAGCTGTGGATGCTTCGGGATTTATAAAAGAAGTCATATATACTCTTCACTTTTGCTTGTTAAGTAGTCCCACAATTACCTTAACAGTTCTTACACACTAGGGAAAAAAGACCAAAGGGAGGATAATTTTTGGGGTCATGGAAAGTTCCACTATCTGACAATCTTCTGGCCAGGTCCTGTGGATGATTAATAACCCTCATGTTTTTTCATCTTAATATTTCTTGGTCCATACCCATAAAATTTTCCTGCTTTGTATTCATTTTTTAAGTCTATAGCATTATTGGGATTTTATGCTGACTTCATAACCTTCAGAGTAACTGATCATAGCAAAATAGTTCCCTGCTTGCAGAGAGCAGCTCTCCATTGACCTCAATTTTAATGAATAAATTTTGAAAAAGAAAACATTTATTACCAATTGAGATAAGCAGCTCTGAAAGATTTTCACCAACAAGTAAAGCCCATTTTTTAAAAGTATAGAGCTCTTGAGGAGGCTGAATCTGATGTAACAACAATTCTGAATTATTTAGAACTCTAGATCATTTTGGACTAACTTTTAAGATTCAAGTTACCCGACTGTGCTGCTAACTTCCTATTTACCTGTCTTCTTTCCTGACTAGATTGTAGGTTTCTGAAAAAGAAAGCCTGTGACTTATCTCTATAACCCCAGTGCCAAGCACAGTGTCTGAAACAATGTAAGCACAGAATACATCTCTTTTGAGAATAGTATTCATTGAAATAAGACAAATACAGGGAGGAGAAAGTTGAGAAGACACCTAGATATCTTTATAAATAACACATCATATGCACTTAGGAGGTGCATTAATTTCTTGAACTTAAAAGTTTAATGTTTCAGGAGCTAAAAACAAAAAGGGTAGGAGGTTGAGAATGAGATCTATGTGTGAGAGATTTTTAGTCAGAGAGGTGAAGGCTAAGAAAATATAATTATCATTTCCAAGGTCACAGGTAAAGAACAGTTTAAGAAAAAAAAAAGGAATGACTGGTTCTCCTTCTCCACTAGAAGAATAACAAATAGCAATCGCTTGTTTTAAAGAGAAATGAGAAAAAATTTTCTTCTGGAGAGACATTAAATAGTGAGTAAGTTACTAAGGAAATTTAGATATAACAGAGCTCCCTGAAGTGCGTAGATGAGACAACCCTCCACAATTTTTGGAGATACATTTTGTGAAACTCTATGCACAAAATATGATGCTTACGTTAAACTCTTTGGAGGTGTGTTAGAGCAGTAAATAGAAAAGGAGTTAATTCCCTATTTTATATGGCATTGCAAAATATAAGGCAGATACGGATTCAACTATGTAAAGTGCTTTTGCCTTTCTGTCAAAGACAGAGTATTTAATATAAAGGTGATAATGGGGTACTAAATGTTTGGCTCTCCTTTTGTAATGTAAAATTTCCAGTTATCAGTGGCCAGTGGTGTATACTACATCACTCATATTAACTGAGAAAACATCCTTTCACCTTATGTATCAAGGGATTTATAATTGCCGTTTAAAAATAATAAAAGAGGGAGTAAATGATTTGTGAACCCACTGGACTTCTAATGGAAAAGCTTTCTACTGACCCAAGAAGGGCACTTGGATGATTATGGCTTCGATGTAGCTGGAACTACTTTAAATATTCATTGCACTTTAATGAACATGCTTTTCCTCTAATTGATATTATGTTAATACTGTTTGAATATGAGTTGACTTGCCACACTGATCTGGGGGAGCCAGGATCCTTATATGAATGAATGAGAGATCTCAGGTTTGCTAAAACTAGTAAATACATCTAGAAGAAGAGTATAACATTTTGTTTACAGGTGAAGAGACAGAAAACATGCAATTTGGCCGGAGAATGTCAAGTAAGTCTTGTTTAAGCTAAGACTGATTAAAATTCTTTAATATCATGCTTTTAATATTCAAAACGTGACAGCTAAAAAGTCAAAGAGTAATTCACTTTGTCGTTCATTAATTTGACATATACTTATCTCTTACTATATGCTTAGCAAAAGTATAGGTTAACAATGGATAACATTAATAAATTAGTTGCAAAATCACAAACAAACAATGACCATCTCAGGATGCCTAGGAATTTAGTTTATCTTGATGGAAATCAGAGAGCTAATAACAATTTAATAAAAATCAAAAGTCTATAGTAAGTTTTAATATTTTACTTCATTAAGCTATGAAAATTTATTACTTTTGACCCTATCATCAACATAATAAATATTTACCATGAGTCTACATATTTCCTTTTTAAAATGAATGCCCTTGCATTAATGTGTTAAACTAGTGTGCCTTTTAAAGTGTCTCCGGACATATTTTCCCAATGATAAGCAATCCGGGACATCTTAGGAGCATAGCAAATTGATTAAGACACCATATTTCTAGCCAATATTTATAGATTAGGGAAGTACAGGAAAGGATAAAGTTGTTCCCTTTAGCTACAGAGCTCCCATGGGGGCAACTTACCAGGCAGGAAAATGGTACCGTGGTACCTGGTGTCAGGGCAGATGTTCTCTCCTTTGAGACCCCAAACTTGGCCTGAAGCTGAGTTTCAGGGAAAGCAGCATGGGTGCTATTTTAAAGTGTTCCCTTATCCTCTCATCCCGTCCACAAAAGAGCTAGGTAAGATAGGGGGATCTTTCTTCGGTTTCAGGTTCTTTAGTATTTCTCAATTTCGCTATCCACTGGAATCATTCAAGGATCTTGAAAAACACCAATGCTTGGGTTCTTTCCCCAGATATTTTGATTCAATCGATCTTAAGAGGGGCCCCAGACATTACATAATTGAAAAGTTCCTGAAGTGTTTCTTTGAAGAATCATTGAACTATACCAAGTGAAAAGGAGTAAAAATTACTTAGTAATAGGATAAGCCACAAGGTACTCTTAGAAGCTTAATCTTGGATATAGTCCTTAACAAAGCAATTTACAGCATGTTGGAGTTGGCCTATAAATAACTCAGGTCCTCCTAATTTCTATCCAAGGTTTTTCTTGAAACAACTGCTCCCCTGGAACTTGTTGACCTATATTTATATTTTGCTTTCTTAAGTTTACATGAAAGTTTAAACTTATGGAAGCATAAATTTCATAAGTTTAAACTTATGAAAGCAACATTCTAAATCATACAAGAATTATTTCTCCCTACAGTTTCTATTAGCAAGTCAGAAGGTTTTACTTTCTTCCTTATGTCTGTTAAGGATTGTAAAATTCAGTCCCAAAACACTGCCCCAGAAGTATTCTAAAGTTACCAATAAATGGTTAAGTAAATTACATCATAGCTACTTGGTGAACTTTTGTGCAACCGGTAAAATGATTATAAATATGCTTATGATAAAAAAATAAAAATAAATAGGATAAAAAATAACATGCACCCTATGATGACAACCGTGTATTTTATAGTTAAAGGCTGGAAATAATTTTTTTATAGAATTAGTGCAGGGATGGTAAGTGATTTATCACGTGGTTTCCTAATCTTCCAATGATGTTAGGATTCTGAGTTTATATTAATATAAACTAGCTACAATTTATTTTAAAAACTACCAAGTGCTAAAAATTTTGAAAATCTGCAGGGTGTATACTAACAATACCATTTTTTGATCCCAGAAAAGCTGAGGGACAAAGATGTTAAGTGTCACATCCAAAGTCATACAGCAAGTAAGTGGAGATATTTGATTCATAGATTTGTCTATTTCCTATGTGTTACCCACTTCATCATTATGTAAAAAATTTTAAAGACAGACTCGATCAATAACTGGCTCCCCTACTAGTCCATCAAGAAACAGGATCCACCCAGTAAAAACATTTGTTGCTTTAGTCTAAGTGGGTCTGATTGTCAATGGATGCTTATAAGTTTATGATAAAACAATAAAAATAAATAGGATAAAAAAGACATGCAACCTATGATGACAACTGTGTATTTTATAGTTAAAGATGGGAAATAAATTTCCAGTCAATGAATTCACAGGATATTGAGCTGAGAGGGAAAGATGGGGAGTGAGAAGCTCTTATCAAGTTAGTTATCAATTACCAAAATATTTTTCAATCAAGAGGAAGATGAGTAAGATAATATCAGTTTATAAACCACTTTTTAAGAGAAGTTAACTCTAAAAATATAAATTTGAACACTGCTTTGGAAGAGATACTCTAATAAGATGTGATTAGCTAATAAAAAAGTCTAAAGGCTCACAGCCTAGAAAGAATCCAATTCCTTAAAAACAATCCCCAAGGTGAAAATAATTGAAAGAATGAAATGAAAATAAGAGCCAAGCTGCTAATATCAGCTTTATGTGCTACTCCCTCAGAGACGTATGCTCTATCTATAAAAGGGGGTCATTAAACTAGTTCAAACCCTGAGCTTCTCTCATTCCCCTGAGGTGTTCTTGCAGGGTGAGTATCTGTCTCCTGGGGCACTTACTGGCGCCCTACCCTCTCTGGCCTCATGCCTTGTTATGCAGGCTCTGCCTCACCTACCCAGGTCTTTGCCCTGTAGATACTGTCCCCTACATTGAATTGTACGGAAAGACTCAGTTCCTGGGAAGAAGAAATGACAAGCTAGGTTTTTCCCATGAAGGAAGGGTACTATGCAAGAGCCACATATGGAATATTAGGATGGTATCCAATGTTTCCCACTCTTAGTGGAAAAGTATGGTAAATGTTGAATTAAACAGATTCAGGCAACCAGAATCAGCACTAAATGAGAACTCCCTTCCTAAACAAATACATTTACATTTACTTCATTTCATCCGTCATTTACTGAAGGCTTTCTTATATGCAAAACTGTTTTTAAATTATGTGGAGAAGGCTATAAATGTAAACGAGATACAATACATATCCTCAAAAGCTTTATAAAAGGCTACTTTCAAAAGCTTCATAATTTTGAAGGAAAATAAGAAAGGTTCTAAGTAACACATATACTTATTAGTGCTATAGTACAAATGTTAACAGTATGCTTCACCTTTGTTTTTAATGAAATTTTTCATACATAGAAAGGGTAACCTATACTGTCTAGGGGTTCAGGTTTTAGCCTGTTAATATTTTCAGTCTGTAACTTTTCACTAATATGTGCCTGTCATTTATTTTCAGTAATCAAATTTTTCTGATGTATATATAGTTTCTATTTTCTCATAGTTAAATATAAAACAAAAGACATTTGGATTCAGTGAAATCTTAATTGAGTGTACTTTCTTGGATATATTAAAACAATAAATGTAACTCGGGTTTCTTAAGGCCAGAGTATACAAAAGAGGTCATATTAAGAGTAACTTAAATTTCACTTGCTGGCATTCCCACTTGAATATGATGGGAGCTCTGGCCCTTGCAGACCTTCACCTATGCATTTCTAGGGGTCCTTAGAATACAGAATATGTTTCAGTAGTCTCCTCTAGGCCTTTCATGGTCTTCCTCTTCAACCTTCTGGCTGATGATCACTGCTGTGAGTTAGAACTGCAAGCACTGGTGACCATGTGACACTGAAGTCTGTGCTGAAGTCTCCAGATGTGATTCTGCAAGCTCTCATGGTGCCATTTTTGTCAGATCAAATATAGCACACCCAGTTAAATCTGAATTTCAGATAAGTAAAGAATGCAATATTTATTACATACTTAAACCAAAAAGTTATTCTTTAAAACAAAATCTGAAATTTAAATTTAACTGGGTGTCCTGTATTTTTACTTGCTATATTTGGCAACCCATCAGGTGCCCAAGCATATGCTCTCTGCAACCTTTCCTTAGCTGAAGCCACATGGGTGCTGTGTACAGGTGGGTAAAAAGTCTCTCCCTCCCTCTTCTGGCGGCGGTTTTTTTTGTTTTTTTTTGTTTTTTTTGTTTTTTTTTTCTGAGCCCAAAGCTGTTGCTTGTGCCTCGTGTATCTCAGGACCACTCATGAAAATGGCTTTCAATGTCTTTCTGTAGCCAGAGCTTGGACAAATCATAGGATATCAGACTGACTGGAATGGGCTTTGGTTTGATTCCTTTACAACTTCCTTCAAGGACTTGCCCTGCAGATTTCCTTGCTGGTTATATCCTCCCAGGCAAATTAATTTATGCTAAGAAAGCTAAATGCCCTATTAGTTCATTAGACACATACACTTACACTTTAGTAGAGATTCACTGTACATTTATAACACAAGTTAGATGGAGACTAAGGGAACTACCTACCTCTAAAGTACATGAAAATGCTTTCTACTTCTGGAAGTACTTAGAGAAGCTCCATGGAAAAAGTGGCTTTAAGGCCTCAGCTTTTAAGAGATATGTATGATTTTGACTGTGCAATAAATTCCAAGCCAAAGGAAGAGTATGAATGATGATAAGAAACCAGGAAAGTTCAAGATGTGATTGTTTTTGTTTGTTGCAGCATTTGATGTAATGATAACTGAAACTACAAGGGAACTTGAAGGCTGAGCTAAGGGAAGTTCTCAGTGGCCATGGTCAGGAGTTTGTAGTTTTTTCTTCCTGAAATGGGAAGTGCTTGTAAGTGTTGGTTAAGGAAGAGAATAATCAAGAGATTCACATGATCTTGTAATGTAGACTAGGTTTAAGCCTGATAAATTATAGTGAGAAAGATTAGGTTGTCACTTGAATAGATAAATGACAATGAAGGCCTCAGGTAGAGACAGCCAAGAATGAAAATGAAAATATATTTGAAAAAAAGACTTTGGTTCTGAGCATTGGTAATCTGTTATAGTCACCAGAGGTGCCTTTAAAAGTCACAGTGCCTGGGCCATCTCCAGGTTAATTAAATCTGAATCTCTCTAGATGGGATCCATGAAATCAGTATTTTTAAAGCTCCACTAATGATTTCTACACTCAGCCAAGACTGAGCACCCTTTAAGTGGAATCGGAATCAACTGCAGGGCTTGTTGGGCGCTAGCCCCAGTGTTTCAGCAGATCCCGAATTAGGTCTGAAAATTTGCATTTCTAACAAGTTCCCAGGTGATGACAATGCTGCTGGTCCAAGGACTACACTTTGAGAACTACTGCTGTAGAATGATTATGGTCCGATGATTAATTAGATATTACTGTTTATATGTTTTGACTGAGTGGGGGAAACTTAATTATAGATGACCGAGACACTGAGTCTGAGTTAATGGTAGCATAGAGATGCCATTGAAAAAGTTACAGATGTGGAAGAAAATAGCAGATGCTTGGCTTGAATGAGAATATTAAGAGAATGGATTCTGAGAAAAAAAATTATTAAAAAATATGCTTATGGGAATGGAAAAGAAAGTAAGCCAGCAAACGGTAGAGAACCATCAGAGAAATAGAAAAACCATAATCTCACAAAACCAAGAGGGAAGAAAGTGGTCAAGGCTAGCTCTATTTAGAATATCATAAAAATACAATCTTGAAAATACTTTCAGACCCAGTGCACACTGAGACAAGGGTCCAAGAGATCTTCCTTTGCTACTTTTAACTGTCCTTAGCAAAGAGAGGTCACATTCCGAATAATGACCTGCAGGCAGCTCCAGTTCTTCAGTGCAAAAGGCAGAAGGGTCTATGTCCATCTTATTACACTTACTAAGGAATTAATGAGGACTACCAAAAATAGGAGAGATTTTCAGCTTTGAGAGTTGAAACAAAAATGATTTTTAAATCTAATCATGAATTCAAAAGAAGGTAATTCCCTGTCTTCCGGATAAGGGCAGAAGGTCAATGCTGAAGGTCAACGCTCAAGAACTTAACCCACTAGCATTTGTTAAGAATGTATAATGAACCAGGTGCTGTTCTAAGCACCTTATAATCTTCCTACTCAGAGTGTGGATCATGTACCAGCACCATCAGTGTCACTCGGGAGCTTGCTTGAAATGCAGACTCTCACTGCACTCCAGACCTACTGAAGAAGAATCTGCATTTTTAACAAGATTCTTAGATGATTATTAGAGTATGAGAAGTACTGCCTAAGGTATTATGAGCTGATTTAATACACTCAATACTGTAAGGTAAGGGCTATTATGAGGGAAGTGTTACAAAGAAGTTAAAAAATGGGCAGGGCGGGGTGGTTCACGCCTGTAATCCCAGCACTTTGGGAGGCGGAAGTGGGCGGATCACAAAGTCAAGAAATACACACCATCCTGGGCAACATGGTGAAACCCTGTCTCTACTAAAAATACAAAAATTAGCTGGGCTTGGTGGTGGGTGCCTGCCGTCACAGCTACTCGGGAGGCTGAGGCAGGAGAATCACTTGAACCCGGGAGGCAGAGGTTGCAGTGAGCCGAGATCACGCCACTGCACTCAGTCTGGGCGACAGAGTGAGACTGTCTCAAACAAACAAACAAACAAACAAAAAAGTACCTAAAGTCATAGACTTAATGGGGGTAGGTCTGAGATGTAACACAATCTGGATATACAAACCCTGACCTATGCTGACTCTCAAGAAATTCATTACATGACCCTCAGCACTCACCACCATCACTCTTTAACCTCTATCCACAGTGTCTTTCCTTCAGTGCTTCTAGGGCACCACGTCCTTTCCATCATATTCTTTATTGTCTCTACCATTAACCCACCCCTGTGTGTTAACTCCCTCTCACCCGTCAGATCTCTGCTCACAGTCACTTTCTCAAGAAAACCGTTTTTTACCCCAAAACTTGGTATTCTATTCTCACAGCATCATGTATTTTTCATCCATGATAATTTGTAATTATGAATTTATCTATGTGATTGTGTGTGTGTGTGCTTTCTTTAACAAGACTCAAGCTCCCGGAGGGCAAGGACCACATCTGTTTTGTCTCACTGAATCTCCAGTGGCCAACACATTGCATGTGACTTAGCAGACACAAAAGTTTCCTAAATGAATGTGTATGTGAATGGCTTTTGAATCTTACCCACACGATGTCTGTCTTACCCACATTAGTATGGCCTGCACTGACAATCAGAACTGAACATGCTCACTCTCCATGTCATTAAAGGACCTGGTGAGGTAAGAGAACGGAGCTCAAATTTAAAGGGAAGAGTAAACTTTGAGGCTGAACCCTTAACATCCAAACAAACTTCCATCTGTCATGAATACCTGATCTTCTTTCATAACCTCCTGAAACTATGAGAGCCCTTTACATACCTTTTTAGCTTTCTAGAACCCAGAACCTATGCTCTGTCTTCAGTCTTTTTGTTTTGTTGTTTTGAGACAGGGTTTCCTTCTTTCGTCCAGGCTATACAGTGATGCAGTCTTGGCTCACTGCAACCTCAGCCTGCCAGGCTCAAGGCATCCTTCTACCTCTGCCTCTCAAGTAGCTGTGTCCACAGGTGTGTACCACCACACCTGGCTAATTTCTGTATTTTTTCATAGAGATGGGGTTTCACCATGCTGCCCAGGCTGGTCTTGAACTCCTGGGCTCAAACGATCCACCCACCTCAGCCTCCCAAAGTGTTGGGATTGCAGGCGTGAGCCACCGTGCCTGACACGCCTTCAGCCTTTGAAATGGCAAAGTTAGAAGATCCCAGGTGAGGTCTCTCCATGTTGGGAGGGGAGCTCCAGAAGAGAACCATCGACTGTTCCAACACAAATCCTGTAACTAAACACAATCCATTCATTTTTGAATGCTGTTCATCAGGCACCTTTCAGAGGCCCTGAATTCATCTCAATGACAGAAAATGAGACTTGATTTCAGTGAGAGGCTCTTCCATAATAATCCTGTCTGAAGAAAGCATAGATTACAATGCCACTTTAAAGGTACACTCTTCTGTAATTTTGTGTTTCATTTTCCTCCAAATACTCCCATGTATGGTTCCCATATCTTGCGTTCTCATATAATATTAACATAATTGGAGTAACTAAGGTTTAATGCTGCCACTATTGTGAAATAACTGCAAAGGGACTTGAGAAAAATGCTGCTGATTTTTTTTTCTTAAAGAGATGGTTGGATTTAATTTCAACAGTTTTAGAAAATATTGAACGACTGTAATCAGCTTAAAGCTTAAACAGGTGACAGGCTCAACTGTAGATGATAGGGATGAGGGTTTTTCAATATAGAACAGCCTCTTGATAATTCTCCAGATACCTCTTTGGTGTTTCCATGATAACACCATGATAAACGATATGCTGAGAGTCTCAATTACCATATTTTCTTATGGCATATTCAGTCTCAACAATATATGAGTCTTCCAAATCACATCATGAATTAGGAGTGCTGAGGTCAACCTTGAGTTTTAGATCTGAGCGTCTCTAACACAAAGGGGCATATTAATCATCTGGGGAGCTTGTTGAAATGCAGATTCTGATCAGTAGGTCTTTTGTAAGACCTGAGGAGTTTTAATTTCAAAGAAGCTCCCAGGTGGTGCTCATGCTGCTGGTCTATACAAAACACTTTGAGGAGCAAGGTCTTAGAAAACAAACTGAAATTAATTATGTGGCTTACAATGCAATTTGGCATGCTTTTAAGTCAGAACCATTGCCTAAATACTTCTGCATGCCAGGGCTGTTGTAAATGTACCCTTGTCCACCAGCACACTGGCAGAAACACTCTAGAGAAATGAGTCATTCCATGATTCCACCCTGGGGAGGAGACTTGAGTGATTTGTTTAACTAAGTTAGGGAAGAAATAGATCTGCTGTCCAATCAAAAGGTGTCTTGGGCAAAACTAGGAGGTTGGAATTTTCATATTTCTTCTTTAAAAATATTTATATTGAGCCTATGTCTGGATGTATCTGAAACAGGTCTGGGCAAAAGCTGGTCAATTCTAGAACAGAATTAAAAGCAATGTGGTCAAATCACGGTGTAATCGCTAGTGGGTTAAAATGCAAAATATTCTGCATACACAATGTATTTTGAAAAATGCAACATAAAGATTGCTTCACTTGTAATATAGAATTATTTAAAGTAGAAAAGATTAAGAAAATAAAAACGGTTAGAGTGCATTATTGCTTATGGTGTCAGGACATGGAAAGAAGTATGGTATTTTTGGCGGGGTGGGGATGATCTTGGTCTCCTTATACACTTCCATCATGATGTGGGTATGTCTTTGAGTTCTACTCTCCACCCCCACCCCAAGTCCTTGGTGGTTCTGAACCACTAAAGGAAACTATCATCAGATAAGCTGAAGATAAGTAAATGGGAAGAAGAATGGAGAGAACGCTTTCTATCCCCACCCCCCACTTTTTTTTAACCCTCTTTTAATCCTTGACTTAGGAAAATAAAAGGAAGCTTAAAAAAGTACTTATGAAAAATTTACAACCAGATTTAAATCTGGTTTTAAGGCCTTGCTGAAACCAAGGAGCAGAAACTAGGCCCCAGTGCCAAGCAATTCTTTAGCCCACTTTGGGTGCTCAGAAAAATTCAATAAAAGAACTTATCCCAATAGGATGGCCAGGAAAAATATGTACAATAATTCAGTTGGGTGCTATGATCAAAGTCTTTCAGTAGCATCATTCAAATGGAAAAAAGCACATGTACTTTACTCCAGAAGAAAAACATACTAGAATATATCCCCAAATCCACTATAATGATAATTATCTACTATGTGGTAGAATGGTACCTAAGAATCATAGACTTTCATTGGCTGACAAGAATCCTGACAATCCCTGGCCTGACTCTATCATTTTACAGAGAAAGAAGCTGACGCCTACATTGGTGACGAGACTTGCCTAATGTCACACAATTGATCCTTAAAGAACTGAGAGTTCTAACCAGTACAGAAACCTAGGTCTCATAGAACTCAGGTCTCCTGAATATTTCTCAATTTAGAGCATATTGTGCTATCCCATAAATTTTTTTTTTCAGGCCATTTGAAGCCAGGAATACTCAAGCTTCTTTGGCACATAAGCCACTGGCTCAAAACTTTGGGCCAGGTTACAGGAATCTACTTTTAGCTAATCCTGGAGCCTTACCTTGGTTTGTTCTGACTTGATAGAAAATGATATTAAAGATGAAATCCTGTGCCAGTGAAGAATTTGCTAAACTCTCCACAGTAAGGGGATAGTAAGAATTTGCCCAAACTAGAAGCTTCACTCTGTGTCACCTTCCTATGAGCCAGTCACTCTGAGCAAGTAAGGGAAATAATGTGAAACATTAGTACTGGTATTTTGTCATGGATTTCAGATGTCAGGAATTAGAGCCCTACTTCTTTCTTAGTATAAAGGGCTGTTGTTACAGAGAATGATGGAGGATGTCATGGGATCTAATATTGTATTGTGGTTAAGAATATGAGCTTCAGTACCCGACAGAACTGGATTTAAATCCAAGCTCCAGCAAGTACTAGCTTGGGGACTTCAAGGAAGTCAACCTCCTGGTCTTCAGTTTTCTTTCTTATAAAAATGGGAATAGAAATAATCCCCCTGACTTAAAAACTTGTAAAGATTAAATAGCATGTGTGTTTGAAACACCTAGCACCATGTAGGATACAAACTGAACATTCAGTAAGGTAGTGATGTTTTACTCAGTCAGAAAGGTAAGCTTAAATCAAAATATCAGAGAAGATCCTGACATGTATACCTTATACGGTTTTAGAATTAGAGAAAGAAGTCCATAGCATAACTTTGCTTGAAAATTTCCCCAAGTAATGCTGGTCCTCACTTTTCATGTTGGCTTAAGTTACTGTTCCATTGAGATTGGAGCTAAATAATTAACGGCAACATCTTCCAAACCTGGAGCATGCACCCAAAATGTACCCAAAGGAACACTGTCTTCTGTTAAGAAGCAGGAAAGTCTATCTTTGCTCTTATTTCAAATGTGGTACATTGAAGTACATACTGATTTCACTTTAACATCTGTTCAGAGGTGTGGTTATTAATGGCATATAATGGGAATGGCAGGATTCAGGGAAATAGATTTGCTTTATTTCTCTATCACCGTTGGCCAGGATGTTGGGATCTAGACTTGGAATCAAACCCATATCGAAGGACTACATTTGTCTGCTTAAATCTTTACCTGTGTCTTTACTGCAGCTAAAATAAAGAACTGGGGACATATGAGAATTGTTGCTTTCATGAAACTAGCCAGGTGGAGAAGTGAGGTTATGTTGGCCTACCTAAAAACAGGGAAATATTACCTGTAAACACCTGACCTCCTTGAATGATAATGAAAACATTTCTTAGAGTCCAGAAAAGTCGTTGCTTAAAGACTCTGAAGGCCTATCTCACTTTAATCAAGAGGTAGACTTCAACAACATGTTAAGTATTTTACTTAAAAATTCAGTCTGCCCATTTCTATTACTGTATACAATAGTATGATGTGTATATTTTAATAGTTGAAAAAAAATAGCCCCTAAATATTTGGGTCAAAAGCACTTTAAAGACAGCTGGAGAATACAAAGAATACCTTTATAATAAAAGTAAGCCACAAAAGTTGAAAAAGTGATGATAATTTTGTGATATAGCAGTATAAGTGTGCAAATTAATCAATAAGTTAATGACTATTTGTTGTGAATACTATCTACACAGAACTAGATTGGGTTGGGGTGGGGAAAGTGAATAGTACAGAAAGGATATACGATATGATTTGTGTGCCTAGTGAGAGATATAAAAGAAAGATTATAATGAAGGGAATAATTTCAGAGGTCATGTCATATAGATGTAGGGATTTAAGATTTTGGCATATTTTCTACACAGCTTTTGAAATCGTGTATATGTACCATTTCTTTTGTGGTATTCTAAGTCGATGGCTGCTTTTTTGATACCAGTTTTATCTAAGCCTCTATTTGGAATTCCATGGAAGGCACCTTTCTGTGTCCCTGCTTGTCTGGATCACCTTGTCAACATAATCATGTTTATCAGAAGTTCTAAACCTTTCTGTGTCCAGGACTCCCTGGGTGTCTTAATAATATTTGGAAGATGACCTTCTGTTGTCATAACAAAGGTTTCTGACCACTTCTGTCAGTCAATCAGTGTTTACACATCTTCAGCCTGTCCCTAAGCACTGACCTGCTTCTTTAATGTCAAGTAATTGCCAATTCATACTCATGTTATGCATCCACCGCTATTTATTCTGCAATTTCCTAATTTTCTGCCTTCCAATAGCATTTTCCAGTACTAAAATTTTCCATATTGGTCAGAGTTGGGAAGAGTGGTGACCCAGTAGAACAGGAGAAAGCAAAATGAATTTGAGGGCTAAAAAAATACATATAAAAATTTTCCTCAAATCTTGTACACCAGGAGTTCTCACATGTTAGTGTGTATTAGCATCATAGAGGCATCCTTTGAGAGCCCTTGAAACACAGGAACCAAAATCATTTTTAAATAACATGTAATTAAAACAAGGCCATCTCATTTTGCTCTCTGCCAGGGAGTTCTGATCCTGGGAGCCCCTGGAGAGCCTTTGACAAGATTCTAGGCATCCATGGTACTCCTAAGATTATATTTTAAATATTCCATTATGTATTGCATGAGATTGTGTTTGAACACTTGAGAGGGCCCATTGCTTTCAGAAAATCTCAAAAGCCCAATTTACCCAAACATAGTTTAAAGACTCCCACTGATGCCAGGCAGAGAGAGTTAAGACAACACATTTGAGGAAACATTGATAGATACTAGAATATTGTGGAATAAGAACTTTAGCTAATGTGTAACACTTCTGTTCTTTTTATGCTATTATGATATTAACCTTTGTAATTAATGATTCCCTTCTTTAGCAATTACCCTCTGACTTCTACTAAGATGTATATCAACCACCAAACAGCATAAATTTTCCATGAAGCACCTGTTATAGGCCTAGCATGGTGTTGGGTCAATGGTGCACTCAAAGATTGCAGAGTTCCAGCTTGCAGGTTACTCTGGGTGAGGACACTGACATCTACTTTTTTTTTTTTTTTTGAGACGGGATCCCTCTGTCACCCAGACTACTACTGCTAAGCCTCACGAGAGTGAGAACTTTGCTTTTCTTGCCCCAAACTCTGTCTCACATGCTTAGGAGAGCATTTAGTAAATCATAAGAGCACAACAAATGATTATTAAATGAGTAAACTGAATACCTCAGGGATTTTATACTGTAAATAGCATAATGATATTACCAGATAAACAAAATCTCCTCAGTGGCTGATTGAACAAAAATTTTACACCTGGAGGATACTGTAAATACAAGCACTAGAGGACCCAACCAATAATGCATACTAATGAACTACAAAGTTGACTCCATAGGAAAAACCAACTGAAGTTTATATATGACAAAGTTTCAAATCTTTCTTTACTCCAGGTGTTTGGTATAGGAAATAACTCAATTAAAAGAGTATAGGTTAGGAAGATTACCTCTCCACCACATCCTTTTCTTTAGCAAGCAATAATGTTGATGGCAAAGGATTCGGGGAAATGAAAAGCATGCTGCCTAACCACACATCCAACATGCTCCCATCAATAAGTTTGAAGCAGGCAAACCCTAACCTAGATTTAAAGCTGATAAATCATCTGTTTCGTTTCACTAAACATCAAGGGGCTGCTCAGCTTTGTAAAGCTGAAACCCTTGTCAGCCTCTGGATTCATTTAAATGGGGACACCATGTTAAGAAAAAAAAAAAAAGCAGGTTATAAGGTTTCCCTGAAGAATCTCTAGTTTCTAAGTGCATTAAATCCTCCTTCAATTTAGGAAAAAGATTTTTTCTCTCAAAACTCCTGAAAAAGGTTTTTTTTTTTAATGTATAGATGCCGACTATATCAAATTAGTGATTTCCTATATTAGGTCATTCATTTATTGAAACTGGGGTCCTTTCTATTCCACTATCTCCACAGATGCACACACATATCTTCACATACATTAAAAAAATTTTTTTCTTCTTTGGAAACACCTGTCTTGGGAGTTCTTGGCTGTGCAGCTTCTGGGCATGAACAGGGTCAAGCAGACAAATGGTGCAGTGACTCTTTTGGAAGTCACATTTGTCCCTGAAACTTCAGTCACCTGGAGACTGCATGCCTCATTGCCTGCAGCAGCTCAATCTTGACAGTGTAGAATGAGTTTAGAAATCTCATTTGAGAGAAAAAATTTAAATTGAGAGTCTAAACAGCACAATATATTTAATGCTGAAATGACCGTTCTTTGTAAATTTTGCTGACTGTGATTTTTTTTTCTTTCCTTTTGTTATAAGGCTGTTGTAATAATCTTGCTCTCATTTGGAATTTTTTATGGGAAAGGAAGATCACTGGACTCAGTTATCTAGTACATCAGTTAGGTGCACATTCCTATTTTTATACACAGAAAATTCCTGCTTCGTTTGCTATGCAAACACCCATACACATCATTCCTGGAATCCCTACTACATTCATAACTCACTGCTTTCAGACACACACTCACACGGCACCAAAACACAAACTCCCCACATGTTAACAATCAAGCCAGGCTGAAGATGTAAATAGGTGGATATGACACCAGGTGGATGTGTAATCAGTAATAAGAAATACATTGAGCCCCATAATGAAAAGAAATCCCACAAATTGTTGAGGATTCCCCCTCCCCCTTCCATTCACTGATTTATTAACCCTGAACAAAGATGTAATTGCAGGGTCTCAGAAATAACTTTTGTTTTCATTTTTCTTTTTTTTTTTATTTTTGGTATTTGTTTTGTTTGGCCTTGAATTTCTTAATATCTAGTCATACCATTCATTGCCTGTTTTCTTCACTCAGTTGCCCATCTTTTCCCCCCAGAAATGAAAGAAGCATTAGCTTCTGAGTCTTAAGGATGAGACCTCTGCATTTTCTTTGCTTGTTTAGGGCAAGAAATGAAGTGCTGCCTCTTTAATTGGCAGAAGCATGCAGAAGGAGCATACCTTTAATTTAGTGTTGGGATACCTCACTTGCACCCTGGCTGTTGTCTTATTGGAGACGGCAGCCTGCCTGAGATCCTCTAGCACTGAAATAATATCATCCAGCACGCATTTCTTATCCTGATTTCTCAACACACACAGATGGGAAAAAGTATAATTATAGCCCTTGTGGTTCACCTTCATTTCCAGCACGGCTCGGTGGGTCTGCAGGATCCCCTCAGCCTGGAGCAAAATATTGTCCCCGGTTGGGGAGAGGAGGATCACCCTGCCATACCTCCCAGGGGTGTGTAAGTCCGAATAGAGCTGGCTTTTGGACTGGTCCAGGGGGAAAAGGCTGCTGGCCAGGCTGCGCTCGATCTTGGCCAGGCTGTGGCTGGGAGCGACCAGGCGCTCCAGGTCGCCCTCGGGCTGGAAGCGGTTGAGCGCGCTGAGGCCGAAGGTGATTGTCAGGACTGCGGGCACGGTGAGGAAAAAGACCGGGTGCCGGCTCACGCACAAACCCAGCCTGTGGCAGAACGACTGGAGCCCTCTGCGAAGCACCTGCCGCAGCATCCTCCACCAGATCCAGCTCGCAGGCGCTCCCGGCCGTCTTAAAAAGCACATGTGACATGTGTAAGCGCCGGGCTACCCCGTTCTCCCCCATCCCACCCCCTGGGGCCAGTCCCCCCTCCCCACCGCCGCCGCCTCCCCACCCACTCCGCGCTCACCCCACAACCACTCCGCCTGGTCTTTCCCCGGCCCCACCTCCATGCGCTCCTACTACTCTTTCAAACACTGCAGCAAGTTGCAGCAAGGCGGGCAAATACCGACAGCGCGCGTGGGGGCGGGCGGCGGGCGCCGCGGGGCCCACCCCCTCCCCGGTCTCCCCGCGCCCTCGCCGCCTCCCGCGCTGGCTCTCACCGCATGAGCAGCGTTCCCTCGGTCTAGCCCTTCATCTCGGTGCTGCAGTCCCCTGGCCTCCCTCGCTGGAGGTGGTTCCGTGTGGAGCGTCCCACAGATGTGGATTTCCTCTCTGTCTTGGTGGGGTTCGGTGCCTAACTGGAACCATGTGCCTCGGTGTTGTAAGAAGCAGACATGTGCCCCATAAAGGGGGGGGGGGCTGAGGGGGGGAGAGGAGGGAGAAGGGCGGGAGCACGTTGGGGGTGGGGGGGCAGATAAGCTTTTTTCTTTTTTTAAGATGCTGACAGTTATTTTTAGAGTTTTGTGTTCCCTCTTCCCTCCCCGCTGGAGTGAATTGAAGAGGAAATAAATGGTGAAGGTGCTGCTGGCCCATTGGAGCAAGGGCAATTAGAGCCCAAGGAGTGGGGCATGGAGGGAGACAGCCCCAGGGCTCCAGGAGACAGCCTTCTCGCCCCTCCAGTTTCCCTGTGCCCTCGAATTCTGCTTTTCAGCGAAGAAAAGGAGCAGAGAGGATGATGCTGCATTTTTAACACACCACACAGCATGCAAGGGATTTCCTCGCAACACCTTCCTCGCTGTGATTCCACAGACCAGTCCGCTGCAGCTGAGGGCTGCGGAGACTCCATCTATCCCTGGTGCGTTGGGACCGTCTGGATAGCTTCTTTCCTCTGATGGCTGGAGAGGAGGCATTTGCCAATAGCAGTAGCCTGTGTGCGTGTGCGTGTGCGTGTGTGTGTATTGAAAGTGAAGATCTACAGGCAATATGAGGTTTCTCATAACATGTTACATTCACTTTCTGTATTCTTGAGATTAAAGGACAGAAAGTTCCTAAAGCTGATTTCAGTCCCCTTTTCCAGTGTCTCCTTCCACCCCTCACCCATGAGGACTGTTTCAAGCCATCTGGTTCAGGCTAATTTTCCCCTGTGAGTGGAATTCCAGAAACAGACACTTCCAGACACACCAGGTAGTTTTGCCTGAAAAAAAAGAGAGTCGGGTGGGTAGAGGGAAACCTATTGGAGTCACTTGTAAAAAACAGTGAACCTCCTTCACTGTATAAGAAAGAAAACCCCCACCAGATACAATTCCTCCTTCAGCACCCAAAAGTGTGAAGATGAGGATCTCAGCTTCAGATCAGGTCAACTTCAAAAACTAATATTAATAAGTGTGTGTTTGTGTGTGTGTGTGTGTGTGTGTGTGTGTGTGTATATATATATATGAATTTTTTAGGGCAAACTCTAAAGTGTGATTGTGAACTGGAGATTTGCTTTCCAAAGTTTCTGTTCTTTTTGGAATGACTTCATAGAAAAGATTGAGTTTCAAGAGATGTTCTGTGCACAATTTCTTAATAACAGTGAAAGTGCCCATTTTTAATTAGATACTTAGAAAGGGAACCATCTATGCATACAAACAAGCTAAAGGACTCCTTGTCATAATATATACCTTTTATTTTTTTCTACTGGAATTGATTCTTCAGTTAAGAGACCAATGACACAGCAGAGAGCTCAGAAACAGCGACAATGCTTAAGGAAAAGTGTCTAGAAGAAGGTGTCATATATAAGATTAAATAAAAATTCCGCCCTTTCTAAATTGAAAGTGACCTTGGCGGCCATTCTGTTTGAATTTCTACTGAGTGCAGGAATAGCTTCTATATTATCTCTGGTAGTTCTCCATCTGGCCCATGCTACAACATTCCCAAATTCACAAATTTTTCTAGGAAGCCCATTCTATTGTTACACTGCCTTTTCTTGTATTCAGTCAAACTCAATCTCTTTGCCACATTCATAGACTAGTCTTTCCTCTCCTTCAGTGGAGTCACTTTTGCATGCCACTGTCAGATCTTTTTCTCACTTTATATAATGTATTCCATTAGTGACACATGATGGGAAAGTTTTGGCTATACAGCAGAGAGGAAATGTATCTATCGTCCATTTTCTATACCTTCGTTATTACATTAAATATACTTGGCTATATCCTCTACGTTAAATTTTTTAATAGCCTTTATGCAAAATATGCAGTAATAGATTTTAGAAATGGACATTGTTGCATAACTTATCAAGTCCATTTTATAAGTAAGGACACTAGAAATGACAGAGATTAAGTGACTTCAAGGCCACCCTCAGAGTTCTCTGTAAAGCTGAGACTGGTCTCTGGCTATCTTGCTTCTCAGCCCATTTCATTTCCTTCGGTAGCATCAGGCAGCGTACTCTCTTCTCACAACAAACAAATATGTCAGTGTTATTGTCTTTTTTCTTATTCGCTTCATTTCCCACACTTCCTTCTTCAATAAATTTAATAGAATTAGGGAAGAATAAAGATACCAATGTATAATTGACTAAATAATGTATGGTATATACCTGAGATGAACCACTCTGACATAAATGTAAATCATGTTGTAGAATTATAATGGCATGGAAATACATTCACTGAATGTTAACTGAAGAATTAGGTGCAATATGAAACCATTTTGCAAAATAAAAAATATACACATAGAAAAAAGATGAAAGATGCATTAGAATGTTTCCGTTTATTGCTAGATGATGGGATTGTGGGTGAACTTATAAAATAATGCATTTGCTAATTTTAGAATAGCTTTAAATGAAAGGAAATTGGCAGATAGTGTAGAACATTTCCTTATAACCTATGCTCAGTTTCTCCTATTATTAATATCTTACATTAGTTTGGTAAATTTTTGAAATTAAAGAATCAATATTAATACATTATTATTATGAGTTCATACTTTATTTACTTTTCCTTACTTTTTACCTCATGTTATTTTTCTGTTCCAGGATCCTATCCTGGATACCACATTGCTTTTCATTGTCTTGTCTCTTTAAGACCCTTTAGGCTATGACAGTTTCTCAGGCTTTCCCTGCTTTTGATGAGCTTGACAGTTTTGAGAAGTATTGGTCAGATATTTGGTGGAATATTCCTCAATTGGGAATTGTCTGATGTTTTTCTCATGATTAGTCTGGGGCTAGGAGATTTTTGGGACGAAGAACAGAAAGGTAAAGTGCCATTTTCATCACATAATATCGAGGGTGCATTCTTTCAAAGTGACTTATCACTGTTGATGTGAACCTTGATCACTCAACTGAAGTGGCATTTTTCAGGTTTCTCCACTGTAAAGTTAATCTTTTTACTATCCTCTGTACTGTGTTTTTTTGGACAGAAGTCACTATGTGCAGCTTACACTTAAGGAGTGGAGAGTTAGGCTCTACCTCCTTCCTCCTTAAGGTTGGAGTCCGTAATTTGCAAATCTTGTGCACAAGATATTTGTCTATTTTCTCTATTTATTCATTCATTCATCCAGCCAGTCTTTTATTTATATTGGCATGGACTCATGGATATTTCTGGATATTTCTTTTCTACTTTGGGCTATAATTTGAAAATACTTTCTTGCTTAAATTTTTCCAGCTTTGGCCACTGAAAGGAATTCTTTCAGTTGCCTCCTGTGTCTCTGTGATATTCCATTACTGTGGGGTATTTTCTTCTTTTCTAGGAGTATTACTACTTCCTGGTACTACAAAATGCTGCAGGCTCATCTTGTGTATCTGTCCTATCCCAGTCCTAGAATCAGCCACTTCTCCAAGCAGCCTTTGTTTTATTGGAGAATGGTACTACAAACAAAGATCTGGGTGCCAGATATGCTGGTTGTTACTGAGTTATCATTGCTTCTAATCCCTGACAGAGCAATGACATTACATGGATGTATACTTATCTATATCTGTGTGTGTGTGTTGTGTATCTGTAATGGTTTTTATATAACTATCTGCATCTATATTAAGCCAACTATGAGTTTATATTTATGACTCCAACTCTCATCTATTGCTACATAGATTATTGTAGCCCCTTTCCCTTGTTTTCCTGCAACCTCCCATTTCTACAGTGAAAAGTCTGGGTCTATCAGTGATTTAAAAATTGTTTTTCTATAACAAAAATATATATTTTTAATAAGAAAAATAATTTAAAATAAGGAAGAAAAGCATGGTTGCTCAATTTTTATACTGTTAAAAGTCAATGCCAAATACTATTAGGGATTCATTAGAAAGATAAGTTATATGATAAAAAGAAGGGAAATGTTAGCAATATTCCAGATTAGCCCACAGAAGGTTAATTTTCACTAAAACATCAGTGGATATCAATCACATGGTAATTATTGCAAATCTGATTTAAAATAGGGCTTAATATAAAGCTGAAAGTGGTGCATTTAGGGACCAATTAGTAACAACACATTAATTGGTTCTTTAGTTCAAACAGAATTCATGTTTTCTGATATATCTTTGTCAGTATGAGTTTTCAAGACTTAGAATCAAGTTGGGACTTATTAGCTTGTACTTTTGCAGGATGAGACACCAGAGAAAACTGGACTTGGACACAGAATAGCTGAGTTCTAGGCCAATTCCATAATTTACTTCCTAGATGTTTTAAATAAGACACCTAATTATTTGGTCCTGTTTGTTCATAAATATAGATTACATTTATTCACTTGCTCAATTCACTCATAGCAGTATTCACAAAAACTCAGTAAGTTTGCCACATTAATTTATGCTCTAATACTACCAATTCTAACCATTCTAACATGCTAAGCCTCCAAAGCTCAGTGGAATAAAACAAAGTTTTATCTTGTTCAAGGTTAGCAGTCCCTTGTGGATATTTCTGGTCATCCAGGAAAGGAATCAAGCTCAGGCCTGGATTCCACAAAGTCATTCATCCACCTTCCGCTGATGACTTCAAAGTCCTTCCTGAGGTCATTTCCTAGCCTATGAGTTGCAGAGTTGCAAATGGGAAAAGAGCCGGAAGAAGCACACCTGGGAGGTTTTGATGGTTTCTTCTGAAATGCATGAGAAACATCACTTTTTCATGCATCTCTCTGATTTGCACTTAACCTCCAGGGAGGCTGAAAAAAATGCAGTTTAACTTTGTGCCAAGGGAGAAGAGCAGATGAGCTTGATGATCAGGCAGCAAACTCACCCTCTTTCTGGATTCTTTGCCCTGTTCACCTTCAGTCCTGATTATAAGTTCAGGGCTATCATCTGACCCCCTTTTGTCATTTTACATCAGACTTTTTCTGCCACTGCCATCTCAAGGAATGCTGGCTTGTGGGTTTTAAGAAGATGCTCTTTGACCTTCTTCTGTGACGGGTTTAAGGAGTTTGCCAGGGATTAGCCTCATCGCTTGGCTCAGGCCTCTTGTATGCAGAAGGGCGTATCCGAGATATAACGTTTTACATTTTAGAGGCAATTTTGGTCTTTAGCATTTTGGTTGTCTGCAGCTGTAACTGGCTTGAATAATAAGGACATTTCTTATCTCACATAACAAGATGTCCACAAGAACAGTAGTTATAGAGCTGGTTAATTTAGAGACTCAAGAGTGTAATTAAGAACCCAGGTCATTTTCCTCTCGGCCTTGCCCATGCCCACAGCTTGAGCTCTGTGCTCATGCTTGCTCCACAGGCAACACACGCAGACAGACAAGATCCCAAGGAAGAAGCTGCCTCAGCAATTGTGTCTTGTAAGAGTGAAGAAGCTTTTCCCAGAAGGCCTCCAGTAGATTTCCTCTTAAGTCTCATTTCCCATGCCCATGTCTAAATCAATCACTGGTGAGAGGAATGATAATGTGGTAATTGGCTGAAGCCAATCTGGACTCACACTGGTGCTGGGAATGGGGCCAGCCTCCTCTCTGAGCACATTGTCACGGGGGAGTTTATGCAGAGTTTGTTTTGTTTTGTTTTGTTTTGTTTTAAACCAGTTTCTTTAGGAAGAAGCATGATAAGATGTTGGGGATGTTTGGGTCTTGGGCAGCTAACACTAACCTTGATGCTGAGTTTTTCTGTATGAAGCAAATTTGCTTCTGGAGACTGCTTTCTAAATGGAAAATAGAACTGTAATCTGTTCAAATGAATTGACTTACTGATTTTTAATTCATTTATGTTAAAAAGCTTTATAATGGTACAGGAAGGAAGCCCAATAATATCTGATATTTTTAAAAATTATCTTTATTTAAATAGGATATAAGCATATCTTTATTTAAATTATCTTTATTTAAATAGAATATAAGCATATATATTATTCACCTGGAAAATCTTCTATCTCTATTCACTATATCTTTGAGATGAAACTCAGTGATGTAAGGAGTCCATGCAAGCATCTTTTCTTAAAGTAATAAGAAGTTTAGATAGAATTTGCATTAATTGATGACCTAAAATTCATCCTATTTAAGAGGGTACATCAAAGATGACTCATGGGTTCAGTCTTGTTATGTTGTTGCATGTTGTTTGCTTAAAGCCTATGATAAACACCATTCTTATTCTAATGGTAAAATATCCAACTATATGTTTAACAGTGTAAAAAGAAAGCCTGTAGACACTCACTTTTGTCCCATTTATAAATGAATCATAAGTATGGAATTTTCCCCAGAGGTAGTATTTTTCTATGGTGGAAAGTAGTTAAAGTTCTGGAGAAGATTTCAGACAATCAAGTTTTGTGGGTTTTTTTTTTTTTTTTGTACTAGTTAGTTTAATCACTTAACTGCTTAACCACTATATCACCTTGGTCAAATCATTCCATGTCAATAAACCTTAGATTCATATGTACAAACCAAAACAAAGTACAGTTAATATTTTGTATCTCAGAAAAATTGCAGGTTCATTTCCAGACCATCACAATAAAGCAACTATTGCAATAAAGCAAGTCACACAAATTTTTTGGTTTCCCAGTGCATATAAAAATTATCTTTATGCCATACCATAGCCTGTTAGTTGTCAATAGCATTACATCTAAAAATGTACATAGCTTAATTAAGAAATCCTTTATTGCTGAAAATGCTAATGGTCATTTAATATTTCAGCAAGTTGTAATCTTTTTGCTGGTGGAAGGTCGTGCCTTGATGTTGATGGCAGCTGACTGCTCAGGGTGATGGTTGCTGAAGGTTAGAGTGGTTGTGGAAATTTCTTAAAATAAGACAACAATGACGTTTGCCACATCTCTTGACTTTTCCTTTCATGAAAGATTTCTCTGTAGCATGAAATGTTGTTTGATCGCATTTCACCCACTGCGGAACTTCTTTCAAGATTGGAGTCATTCCTCTCAAACCCTGTGCTACTTTATCAACTAAATTTATGTAATGTTCTAAGTATTTTGTTGTCACTTCAACTATATTCACAGCACTTTCACCAGTAGATGCCATCTCAATAAACCACTTTCTTTGCTCATCTATAGGAAACAACTCTTCATCCATTAAAATTTTATTTTGAAATTGCAGCAATTCAGTCTCATCTTCAGACTTCACTTCTAATTCTAACTATTTTGCTATTTCTACCACATCTGCTGTTGCTTTCTCCACTGAAGTCTTAAATTCCTCAAAGTTATCCATAAGGGTTGGAATCAACTTCCTCCAAACTCCTATTGATGATGATATTTTGCCCTTCTGTCATAAATCATAAATGTTCTAATGGCATCCAGAATGGTGAATTCTTTTCAGAAGGTTTTCAGTTTACTTTGCCCAGATTCATCAGAGGAATCAGTATCTATGGCAGCTAAGGGCCTTACAAAATTTATTTCTTAAATAATAAGACTTGAGGGTTGAAATTACTTCTTGATTCCTGGACTGAAGAATGGATGATGTATTAGCAGGCATGAAAACAATGACCATCTTCTTGTATGACTCCATCAGAGCTGGTGGGTAACCAGGTGCATTTTCAATGTGATAAAAGAAAAACTTACTCCAAATTAAATGTAAAGGAGTTTAATTGAGCAATTAATGATTCATGAATTAGGCTGCCCTCAGAATCACGGCAGATTCACAGATATTCCAGGGATGCCTTGTGCTCGGAATGAATTTATGGAGAAAAAAGGTAAAGTTATGTACAGAAACAGCAAGATTTGCTACAGCTCTGCGTTAGCCTTATTTGAGTGCAGTTTTAACACTCAGCAGTCTATGAGTGGTTGAAGTATGGCTGCTGGGATTGCCCAACGCTCAGCTATTGTTATGGGCGCATACTATTAAGTTAGGTTTTCAATTTTGTCTGACTATTAAGCTAGGTTACAGTTCATCCACAAGGACTCAAATATAGAAGTATGTAGCCCTACTCAGGCCATATTTAGTCTGCTTTAACAAGTGAGCAGTAATATTTTGAAAGGACTCTTTTTCTAAGTGATAGGTCTCAACAGCTGACTTAAAATATTCAGTAAAGTGTACTGTAAACAGATGTGCTCTTATCCAGGCTTTGTTGTTTCATTTGTTTAGCACAGGTGGAATAGATTTAGCATAATTCTTAAGGGCCCTAGGATTTTGGGAATGATCAATGTGGCACCAGACATATCTGCTCCTTATAAGAGAGTCCGCCTGTCCTTTGAAGCAGGACATTGACTTCTCCTCTCTAGCTTACATGGCATCTTCTTCTAGTATAAAGCTGCTTTGTCTACATTGAAAAGTTGTTGTTTAGTGTATCCACTTGCATTCATTATCTTAGGTAGATCTTTGGATAACTTACTACAGCTTTTTTATTAGCACTTGCTGATTCACTTTGCATTTTTGTGGAGATGACTTCTTTCCTTCAACCTCATGAAACAACCTCTGCTAGCTTCAAGGTTTTTATCTGAAGCATCTTTACTTCTCTCAGCCTAGCTTCCAGACTGTCTCAACTTTTGACATGCCTTTCAAACTAAGCTTAATCATTTCTAGCTTTTGATTTAAAGTGAGAAATGTTCAACTCTTCCTTTCACATTCTTGAATACTTAGAGGCCATTTAGGGTTATTAATTGGCCTAATTTCAATATTGTTGTATCTCAGGGGAATAGGCAGACTTGATGAGAGAGAGAGAGATGAAGGAGCTGCTGGTTGGTGGAGCATTCAGAACACACACAGTAATTTAAGTTTGCAATCTTGTATGGGTGCAGTTTAAGGCACCCCAAAACAATTACAATAGTACCATCAAAGACCACTGATCACAGATCATCTTAACAGATATAATATTAATTTAAAAGTTTGAAATGTGATATCTAGACACAAAGTGAGCACATGCTGTTAAAAAAGTGACACCAATAAACTCGTTCAATGCAGGGTTCCTACAAATTGAAGGTTTGTAGGAGAAAAAAAACACAATATCTGCAAAGCACAATAAAGTGAAGTGCAATAATATGAAGTGTGCCTGTAATAGAATTTAACTAGGTGATGATTAAATTTTCTCCAGCTGTGATTTTATGATATTCTAGACTTTGATTTCCTGGGATTCCTTTGCTAGGTTTGCCACATCTTAAAAAAGAGCAGCCTCTGATTCCCTACTCAAGTCTCAGTCTGTCTTCCCTGGTGATTCATGTATTTGCACAATACCAAACAGAGAGCCATTGAAGATTGGGAGTGGCCCACCACTCAAGAACACAAGCTTTGGCATTGGTCTGGAAAAAGATGGAAACTGTAAAAATACTTGGAATATTGTGGCCACAGAGGAATAGCTGGACTGAAGATTAAATACTGCCTGCCAAATTATAGTATGGTGCAGAGTCTTATTGGATCAATGCACAAAGATGACATGCTGCTTTGTGCACATTCAATTTTTAGTCATTTAAATAAACATTTTCTAATTTGGGAAGAAGTACAACAAATTTTTAAAAGCATTTTTAGATTTATTCTCTTCTTAAATCCAATAGTAATATAAGTTGGTCAGTTTTAATCTATAACATAACTGAAGGATTTTCTACATTTTTTTCTTCCTTCCTTTTTTCATTTTCTTCTTCCTTTTTTACCTTTCTCTCAGCAGAAACTCTTTTTTTTCTGAAATGTTTTTAACAAGGCCTTCTTCAAAGTACTCTAAAAATGTATCTCTTTCTTCTGGAAGAACCAGAATATATTTCTCTCTTAATGTTTGTTATGAAATTGCATATTTTGGCCGGGCGCGGTGGCTCATGCCTGTAATGCCAGCACTTTGGGAGGCGGAGGCGGGCGGATCACGAGGTTAGGATATCGAGACCATCGTGGCTAACACGGTGAAACCCCGTCTCTACTAAAAAATACAAAAAATTAGCCGGGCGTGGTGCCGGGCGCCTGTAGTCCCAGCTACTGGGAGGCTGAGGCAGGAGAATGGCGTGAACCCGGGAGGCGGAGCTTGCAGTGAGTCGAGATCGCGCCACTGCACTCCAGCCTGGGCAACAGAGCGAAATTCCATCACAAAAAAAAAAAAAAAAAAGAAATTGCATATTTTCCCAAAAGTGTATGCTTACATTCAAATTGGGTTGTTGGTTACCAAACTGAGGTTTTGGTGATGTTACTGTACCCAGAGAGAAACCTGCTTATTAAGGATGAGTTTCTCATTAATTACCTTGCATAGTCGTAACCATGAAAATGAATCCCGTTCCCTGACAATTCTCCCATCAGAGTTTGACAAATTAAAGAATTTTATGAAGCCTTTTCTTGAGCAAAAGTGGGCATCACACTCACCATTAAAGAGGCATCTAATGGGAAACCAACTGGGATGTTGCCACTTAATGGGCTCTGTATTTATCATTACATTATCAAATATCAACATTCATATCACTGTAAAGAAAACAACAATAGAAGAGTACAGTATTCCCTACTTCTGGTAACAGCATCCCTGGCCAAGTAGGGCAGAGGAGAAAAAGGCAGTGAGAAGGGGACTTTGTAGGGAGGGTTTGGCACAGAGAGAGTGTTCTAATCTAGTAGGGCGGAGTGTTTGACCCCTGACATTGTTTAGAATGAAAATACCTTGTGACAATAAAAAGCAGACCAGTGTTTAGTCTATTTTATTATTTCTTTAAATTTCCTACAGCCAGTGCTATTATTGCCTATACCTGGGGTGGAGTGCTTCCACCTCTCCACCTCCATGGCAACCCTTCATATACCACTGCTCCTAGGAGCTGAAACTGTGATTTCTGAATAACTTCCCATTCAATATTATAGTATATTGGTGAAGAGATTTGGGTAGAATTTATAGCCAATTTGGGATTATTATAGGAAAGAACTAGTTGCTCTTATACAATTCAAAACCCTGCCCCTTATGATGATTTTTTTTTTTTTTTTTTTTTTTTTTTTTGCCCTTCAGACTGATGTAGAAATTGAGAGGAAAGAAATAGAAGAGCCTAACTGCTGGTGTAGCAGAATCAGCAGATGACTTTGTTTCAAATAGAGATTTCTTGCTGGAAAAAACAAATTTCCTCAGAAAATATAAGTGAAATGATGTTAGATAAAAAACTCAGACTATGTTTGACATTCAAAAATTTAGTCTTCAGCCTGTCAAACAAAGTGAAGAATTCTACTATGACCTTGGCAAATATTCAGCCTTTTAGCTAAAAAAAAGCAATGTAAACAAAATGAGTACATATCCAAGTTTTATATGACTGTTCACATGCCACATATACTGACACATCTCCAGAAAACATATAGACTGTCTGGGGATTTAGTTATCTTGTTGACATAGGCAAAATCAATAGGCATTTATAGAAACTGTGATGAAACGTCTTTCTGTGAGACCTCATCTTTGGCAAAGTGCCCCTTCTTTGCTGAGCAGCTGTAAAATTTAGTGTAGTCTTTATTCTATTGTATTGAGGTAATCCATGCCTACTTCCTACATAGACTGTAGGCTTCCTGGGGGGAATTCCTAATGCTCTCTAGAGTTGTACTCTAATTTCTAGCAAATGCCTGACACATAATCACATAATAGCTACTTAATTTATTCTAGAATAGCTTTCCCAGTGTCAGAGAAGTATGGATGAGAACTACGGAAGATAAAAGAAGTATAAATGTCACTAAGGATAAGACACAACAGGCTAACTTCAATCTTGAGGCGTGATCTTTGTGGCTGATGATGTGGGTCTCAATTCCTGTTTGCCTTGTGTACATTCTCCTTTTGTTCCCAAGTACCTCTTTGTTTGGCCCTCCTAGCTGCCCTGCCACCAGCCTCAGCTCTCCCGGTATTAATGGATTGTCTGGGGCTTACCTTTCTTGTTTTTAGCATTGTATGTTTCTGATACTTGTTTCTGTTTTTGGTGATCTTCAGGATCTAAACAAAGTTCATTATGGCTGAAGTGTAAATGCAGGGGCAGAAGTAGCAAAAGACAAAGGCAAGGTGGGCAAGTACAAAAATATAAAGAGGCATGGAAACCACGTTTATTCAATGCACTCACCAAAGAGTTACTGAATAACCAAAATGTACAAAACCCTCCTATGTACAAAACCCTACCTATGAAGGTAATAGCACAAGGATGGTGTGAAATGAAAAAATTTGAGAGCTACTTACAAGTGAAAATAGATGTAATTTGGTGATAGATTAAATGTGGATGTGTACATTAAAAGCGGGCAGCATACCTCCTGAATTCACTTGAAAAATAAGTGTAAAAACAGCAAGACTGACATTTCTGCTCTGTTTTAGGAATAATGGCAATACAGCATGGTAGATATATAGACTCTGGATACAAACAAATCTAGGTTCAAATCTCTCAAATCCATCTTCTGCCACCTTCTAGTGGTGTTACCTTGGTCAGATTATTTAACCACTCTAAACTTTAGCCTCCTCATCTGTAAAGTGGGATAATAAAAGCTCACACCTCTTAGACTAGCGTGAGGATTAAGTGAAATAACAAATATATTTATTCAAATATATTAATAGAATTAGTATGCATATTATATAAAGTTATAAAATAATTATTAAATGTGCTTCTTGCCTTCAAAGTGCTTATCTGACATCAAAGGAAGTACATAATTGCTTGAGAGTGAAATTATTTTACCTATATTTAATAGCTATAAGTGTATATAGATATGTTTTGCTATTATTTGTAGGATTGTAGGCATTAAGAAGGATATAGTTGTGTGTGAAAAATTTATGATAGTCAGCAGAGAAACTTAGCTATGTTGAATGTTTACTCTATGCTAAACAGTAGGCTATTTACTTTGTATTTATTGTCTAATTCATTACTAAAGAAAACTGTGGCATAGAAATTGCTATCCATTATTACAGGTGCTAGGACTGAGGTCCAGGGTTTAGGAGTTACTGAAATTTAAAATCAGGCCTGCCCACCCAAAGGCCCTGTTCATTCTGATATTCAGGCTGTTGAGTGGAAAAATTTTCTGTGTTCTTGGCCTATTTTGGATATGTCCTTTTTAAGAATAACTGTCTATTTCTTGACTTTCTCCTACCTTGCCTATTCATGAATCCAGGGGAAATATTCCAATGCCTATGTCAAATATGCCACAGGAAAAACAGCTTGGCTTAAGATTTTCTTCTGTAGCCAGCAGAGTTCAGGAGTCAGGAAATGAATGAAGAAGGAAGACATCAGAACAGGGGAGTCAAAAGAAAAAATGTGGCTTATGAAACTTTCTTCTTAGGTCTTATAAAAATTCATTCAATCCATGTTTCTTTTATTCAAGCTCTGGCCTATTTGGTCAAAAGAAGCAACCTTAGTAATTAGCTGTACTCTCAATTCCTCAGTCATTTCTGATCTGTGAACTGGAATAATTTCCTGATGATAGGACAGTCTCCATCACATATTTCTTAAACAGATGAAACCACACACACACACAATGCATAATTCCATATTTTTATACTTTTGTCAAAATAATTCAAATAGCACATATGCCCTGTGATTAAAAATAAGACTCTTCTATCCACATCTTCCTACTTTCAGTTATACTCCCAAGATGCCATCCCTGCCATTTTCTTTAGCTCTTTCTTTTTGAGGATTTCTCCATATCCCTACACAATATTTACAGAGCTTGATTTCAGGATTAACTACTTTAAACCAAAGGTTTTTAATCACTTCTTTTATATTCCCACAAAATTAAGTCAATTAGATTTATAAAAATAACTAGAGTTCTCCTTAAAATATAAGAAATTGACATTATTAAAAACACTGAAATGTATATAACGAATGGTATACGAAATAATTATTTATATTTATTTTGATATAATTTAGTGCAGAACAGATTTACTCTCATTTATTTAACCATCTTATTGGTACATGTTTGGCTTAGTTCCATATTTCTGCCTTTTTAAATAATGCTAAATAAACATCATTTAATATAAAACTGTTACTAAATATAAGCATATAAATAGTTACCCAGGGGAAAAAAAAGTAATATAATTACCGGCATATTTGCACAGTATTTTTTGTTTTTGTTTTTTCAGTTTTGGAAAAATATTTTTAAACTTTCTTCCAGAAAGTCTGCATATATATATATTTTAATATATATTCATATATACATATTTATACTTTTTCACTAGATAGGGTATTGGCAAGCTTTTTCTGTAAAGGGCTAGATATTTTAGGCTTATGGGCTAAAAGGCAAAATAGAGAATATTATATGGGTAACTATATAACAAGAGAAAAACAAATTCTCATATATTTTACTTAACAAAACAGATAGTAATAGTAGAGTATAATTTAATTAACAAAATACAATAGTAATAATAGAGTATAATTTTTGTAACATAGTTCTACTAAGAAGAAGAATGGAATTCTTTTTGGGTAATCACATTTGCTTAGTTGGATATGGTAGGCAGAATAATGGCCCTAGATATATGTCTACATCCTAATCCTTGTAGCCTTTGACTATGTTCTATAACAAAAGGGACATTGCAGATATAATTAGGATTATGGGGGTTAAAATGGAAGATTTACCAGAATTATTCAGGTGGGCACTTTGAGACAGAGAACTTTCTGAAGCTGGAGTCAGAGAGATGCAGCAAAATAAGTTAGAGAGATTAGAAGCATGAGAGGCACTTAACCTGCCAGAGGTGGAAGGGCCACATGGAAAGCATGAAAAAGAATGTGTCTGGAGTATCTAAGAGCTAAGATTAGCCCCTGGCTGACAGTCAGCAAAGAAATGGGGGCCTCAGTTATACAACCACAAGAAATCAAATTTGTTTAAAATCTGAATGAATTTAGAAGTAGAATTGTCCCCAGCGTCTCCAGAAAGAAACACAGCTATGTTAATACCTTGATTTTCGTCTCAAGAGATTTCTAAGCAGAGGACTCAGTTAAGCCACATTATACTCAGACTTTTGAGCTAAATATCTGTGAGATAATAAATGGGAGTTGTAAGCCACTAAGTCTGTGGTAATTTGCTATAGCAGTGATTAAAAAAAAAACCTCCTATATGGGGTTCGAATTTAGCGTTCTCAACCATCAAAATTAATTGCAAATATTAATCTCTTAATGTTGATCTGGAATGAAATTTTGTGTGTTTCATCTATGAAATTTCTTTCACACAGCTATTGCCAACTACTGTTAGCAATCTACAAAGCATATGATTTAATTGGATTTGTTTATATCTTAAATAAAAGGAATCTCTGTATTCTACTGGATACTTCTCTTGATATTTGACTTTTAACATGTGATTACATTTCAGATTAATCACTTCCAATTGAATGTTAGATGGAAACTCCACAGTTGCAGTTAAATGGATTTTGAAATATGAAAATTCCTTTGCACTTTCATCATAGTCACAAAAATGCTGCTGTAACTGTATTTTTAGGTCAGAAAATTTTAGTAGTGAGTAGTTTAGCTCACTACTAATTTGTGGAAGAGTGTACATCTAGTTAATTGTTCTAATGTTTGGCAGCACAATGCATATAGAACATTTGACATTATTTGTGACTCAATATCAGTTTTTGTGGAAATGACTACTGAAATATACATTTCACATATAAGCACTATTTGGCTTTTCTTAATGTTCTTTAAGAAACACTTTTAATTCTACAGGAATATCTAATTTCAAAACCGCTCAGTGTTTTATAACAGTGATTGAGAGTACTTTTCTTTTTTTCTTTCTTTCTTTTTTTTTTTTTTTTGAGACAGAGTCTCGCTTGGTCTCCCAGTGTCACTCAGGCCGGAATGCAGTGGCACGATCTCAGCTCACTGCAACCTCCACCTCCCAGGTTCAAGCTGTTCTTCTGTCTCAGCCTCCTGAGTAGCTGAGACTACAGGTGCACGCCACCACACCTGACTGATTTTTTGTATCTTAGTAGAGACGGTGTTTCACCATGTTGCCCAGGCTGGTCACAAACTCCTGAGCTCAGGCTATCCCCCTGCCTCGGCCTCCCAAAGTGCTGGGATTACAGGTGTGAGCCACCCAACCAGCAAGAGTACTTCTCATTAAAAAAAAAAAAAATTAGTCTGGGCCCTGAGCTCACAGTCACCCGATAGTTAAGTCTGCAAGAGTGAAGGAAATTTACTGTTGATGGTATGGTTCAATAGCACACAATGGATTCAAATATTTTCTGCAAAGTACCTGCTGATGAATAATACATGCATAGCAAGGGGTTTAAATACCTTACATTTTTACAAGCTTTGTAAATTTATAAAAATTAAGTTATTTTCTGCTTCATACTTATTTTTATCACTATCAGTTATAACACATCTTAGCAGATTCCACTTCAGGTCATGCTTAATTAGTGTTTTCTTGGCTTTTTTTAGAACATTCTCACATATAAGCATATTGATAGAGGTTAATTTTCCAGTCACTTCAAACTTGCCATTGACTTCTCTAATAAGGAACAACTGACTAGAATTGATAACATGAGTTGATCATCAAGAACCAAGAAAAGCCTCTCAAGATCATTTGCCTTTTTCATTTTTAGCTGACTATTGATATACTCACAGTGTTTTCAATTCTTTGAGAAACTATTCTTGCCAGAAAGTTGACAGTCCTAATTACTTTCTCTAGCTGCATTTCTTTAGTTGCTGCAATCACTCATGATTTTATACTACAACATCAGCAAAAGGATTTCCTTGCTTGGCTGATAAGTGAGCTGCTGAGAAATTTAGTTGCAGCCTCATTTTTGTATTTCATTTTTTGAAGAAATTCTGTCATGATAAGATATTCCATTTACAATTTTCTATTTTTTTCAGATTGCTGTTTATCTATGAGTTAGGGATGTGATGCGTGCTTAGTCTGGTAATGGCAATATTTTATTCTTTTAGCTGAGCTATCGTGTCATTGCTTAAAAAACAAACTTTTTTTCATCTAATTTGACAATGAAAGAATCCACACTCCATTGTACTATAAGACTGCAACGTTCAGAGTCTAATATTTTTTGGTTTTGACATGACCTGTAACAATAATTAAAAAAAAAAGTGGTACAGCAATATTCACAGCATCCGAAATGTTGTAGAATTATAATTGTGTCACTATGATTTACAGTGGACCAAAGAGCAGTGCAAAGCAATAAGAGTGCAAAATATGGTCTGTGTCACATACTCGACTCTGATGTAGTGGTGTGAAAGCAGCCACTGACAATGTGTAAACAAATGAGCAGCGTTATGTCCTAATAAAAGTTTAATTATGGACACTAACACTTGCATTTCATACAGTTTTCACTTGCACAAAATTATTATTCTTTTCTTATATTCTTACCTTGACAATTTAAAGAAGAAGACCCCATTCTTAGTTCATTATTTATAAATAAACAGGCAGCAGTCTGAATCTGGCCTTTGGGCTGTAGGTGGCAGACTCCTGCACTAGAAGAATATTCTTTAATAAAAGTCTAGTATCCATCAAAAAAAAAAATCAAAAAAATTCAAATACAAGGAAATATTACCAATTTCTGTTTTTTTTTCCCTAATATATATCAATGAAAAATAGCAGGGCAGAACAGGGATTGTGGAGGCAAAAAGGAGAAGATATACTCACTTATTTTTCAGAGCAAGTCTGCTTACAAATGAACTAAACATTTTGTGTCTATGAGTAGGAGACAGTAGAATGATGTAAATAAAAAGTGGCGTTTGCATTTTTCCCCTTAGCTTTTCTTATTTTCATGGGGGAAAAAGACTCAGACTTATAAAGTTATAAAGTGAGTATGTGTATCAAGGAAAACATCCAATATGTAGAAAGAAATGAAACAATTCCACCTTGAGGCTCTATGGTTGCTATGTATTTTTTAATCACCCCACAAATGTTAATATCTGTCCTACCACTTTTGTTATTCTTGTTCTTTTCTAAATGGGTGAATAAGAATCTTTTCACGTTAATAATGCCTTTAGTTACTATTTTTTTCAAAATTATATATTAAATATAAAGGAACTGTTTGTTCCAAAGTAGGCTTTCAGCAGAGTTAGAGAAGCCTAGCACTTAAAACACTGACATGGTAGACACAGAGACTGCTGCCAATTCCACTCCTATCACCTACCCACCAATCCTCCCCTCTTTTCTATGCCTATGTCTTTGTCTGTGCAGTAATGTGACATGGCATTTGTTTCAGGACAGGTCTAGCCTCAGCCCAGAAAAATGTGAAATGGATTTAATGTTAACTCTTTGTGACCATCTTTCAGTTTTTTTCTCCTCTGGTCTGTCCAGTTTCTTCTGATCTATCCAGTATCTTCAGTCTATCCAGTATTTTCAGCAGCTCCAACACTCTGAGTCTTATATTTAGTAGTTGTTTTTTCCTCTATGACTATAACTAATATCTTTATGCTTTTAAGCAATAAAATAACAAATTTCATAAACAAAATTGTCTACTAATATAAGTTACTAATAAGGAATTATAATGTAATAATGATGCTGTTAATATTAATGATGTTAATTATACTAATTTACATTCATGGGGCCCTTACTAAGAGACAGGACCCTTGCATACATTGTCTTATTTAATCTTCAAAATAGTCCTAGGTGGGCAGTAATCATTGTTACAGGGTTCTAGGTAAACTAATTGAAGCTCTAAGAGGATAAATAACTTTCTTAAGGTCTCATAACCACTAGATGGCAGAGCCTGGATTCAAATTCAGAATTATCGTTCTTCAAAGCCTGCATATTTATTTTAAATAGGAAGCTGACAAAGCAAATGGAAAAAGTCATACCTATCTAAAAGAATTAACCTACTGTTGTGTGAACTCTCCTTTCCTTCAGCTCTCAGTTTTGAGTTAGGCCAGTAAGACAAGGGTCAGTCATTTTATCTATGTATATTTAGTCTTAATGGAACAATTATATGGTGGTCCTTAAGCAGTTAGATTTTAGTTAAATCATGTAGTATACAGAACATGTTGACATAAAAACAACTAACTTATCAGTAAGAATATTAATGTTATTTAAAAATATATAACCCAATTGGCTGCAGTAAAGTAAGACTGTAGCCATAATTTTATTTCAAAAATCAAAATAAAATTTTAAGTGGGCATGCTAGGTTACAAGACCATCAATAAGGGAACTCAGGATCATAGATTCCTTGCCATTTCCCATAAGTTTTATAAGGTAGCATGTAGTGTTTTGTTGATCTGATAAAACACAAAGCAATATTCTTTGTGTTTTTTAGAGGTCTCATTTGACAGCCTTTTAGTGTGCCCCGTTTGGAAGGGTGGGTCCCCTAAATCAGAACTGATTAATTTTTCTCTCTTAACATAATTTAGATGCTCAACAAATAGGTTGATTTGGTTTAAGGAAATCTAATGAAAATCCTAAGTTCTTAAATGGGTAAGTGATTTGTAGTTTACAATATTTCCTTTCTTCATAAAAAGCAATTGACCTTTTGGGCTCCGTTTAATGACTGTCAACTGATAGTGTTAAAGACGACTATGGAATAGAGCAAACAAAAGCTGTGCATAAAATGAATGCTCCTAAATTTGGATGATTGTGTAAATGTGAAAGTTATTGAAGGTGACTTATCTCTTAAAAGCTGTGATATGAAAATCAGCAAAAATCCAGCTAAGTCTGACAAATCTTGTAGGAATACCATTAAGCATTCGATGAACTAAAACGCTGTGGTTTTAGTGCAGTGAAAATTTACATGTTTCACACAGTCAGAATTAGCTCTCTTTTCTCCTGTCACATAAGCTTTGCCCAAATCTCTAGTTTAAAGGAATGGGGGATGGCCAGGTGCAGTAGCTCACTCCTGTAATCCCAGCGCTCTGGGAGGCCGAGGCGGGTGGATTACCTGAGGTCAGGAGTTCGAGACCAGCCTGGCCAACCTGGTAAAACCCTGTCTCTCCTAAAAATACAAAAAATTAGCTGAGTGTGGTGGCGGGCGCCTGTAATGCAGGTTACTCAGGAGACTGGGGCAAGAGAATCGCTTGAACCCAGGAGGCGGAGGTTGCATTGAGCCAAAAATCACACCATTGCACTCCAGCCTAGGCAGCAAGAGTGAAGCTCCATCTCAAAACAAATAAATAAATAAATAGGAATGGGGGTAATCATTACTATGATGCAAGCTTTCCTATGTTGAAGACAGAGGTACACCAGTGCCATAATGGAGTGAGATCAGTAGCAGCAAGGGCAGAAATTTCCAAAAGACTAATAGCAATTAAATAGTAGTGATAGCAGAAGAATTTACCATGTCTGTATTCTAAAGCAGACATGGTTTTAGGAATAATCTAAGTATTCTTTATTTAATACTTTCCATAATATTGAACTCTGAGACTCTGGGAAATTATGATCACAAATTAAGTAGTGGAATAGGTTGAAATCCTGTTATTCTGTCTCTGTGGGATAAAGAAGAATCACAATAGCGATAACCACACAGAAATTTTTGTTTTAACAGATTTTAGTGATAGATAATAAAATCTTAACACATGTTAATGCATTTAGTCATATAGTCATTGTAAAGACAACTAATAACCATATTCAGATATGTACGATTAGAGACCAACAATGAATCTTTTGAAAACTAATGTATAGATTATTGTTTTAATTTTAACCTTTATTGACCCGTTATTGAATTGCAATCTTGTATATGATTTTGTAGTTTTTTGTTCTTAAACGTCAATCCACTTAATCAGCTCTTTAAATAGTATTTGATATCTCACAAAGCCAGTTGAGCAAAACCTATTCATTGTGAAAGCATTCAATGTATTTATCAATTGCATTTGAAATTCTTATTCCCAAAGTTGTGAATCACAATTTTATGTCCCATGTGTGTCTCATCTTATGCCTACCTTAATGATTAGGGCTTGCCATTTGTCCACATTCTGCACTACCTGTAATTACTTTGCCTCTTTTAAAAATTCTATTCTTTTCTTTCTTTCGTATTTTCCATCTGCCTTCTTTGATTCAGAAGTCTCTTTTAGTTGAAGACTCAATTTGATTTTATTTTTAAATGTTCATCACTGTTCTATATAGTTTCTCAGAACTATTTCTCCAGTTTCAGTCCTTATCACTAGATGTAGACTATGCAATATATATTAGTTCTTAACATAATATCTGATACAGTTAATTCAGAATCTACAGTGTTATACAAATTTATTATTGTCTGTTTAAAGTTCAGAGTAGGTGATGCATTTAGTGTTAGAAATTCCAAAATTAATTATGAAAAATATTAAGTAAATATGCATTCAGAAATGCATGCAATTATTATAGTCACTGCATATCTACTATATATTGTGTCAATATTTTTAGATTAACATTTGTCATTTTTACATGATCATTGGATTTGTCTGGAGGGAACGTCATTCTCAGGGAAGCCTATGAAAACATTGCCCCTCCATAGTAAATAGCTGCTATCTGCCGAACATTTTACTTAAGTAATGGATAGTTAACTTATATTGTTTCTAATGCTCACAACAACACTGTCAAGCAGATATTTTTGGTGCCATTTTGCAGCAGAATCATAGAGGTTATTCTGTCAATATCTGTGCCAGGATTTTAACTGAGACCTGCCTAATTCCAAAGCCTATGATTTTTTCTACACTAGGCTGGAAAAAAAAATCTCAGAAGGGGTAAAATAACTGTTTCACGAGAAAACCAGGGTATAAAGGGCTTCTGAATCCCCTGAAATCACCGTGCATGGGGCTGGCCATTCAATAATGCAGACAATACATCATAATGTAGAATGCGCATTGGTAGGCAGCTGGGCTCCATAAATGTTCAAATCATTAAAAGAAGACACATGTAATATTCATCAACAGTTTCACTTCAGTCTTGATTTGATTGCTTCATTCATGACAGATGTAAAGTCACAATAGCACGTTCAGTCATCCTTTAAAAGAGCATGCTCCCACATTATTTAAATAGAGTCCATTTTTTTACAACTTTAATTTGTGGCAAAGTTTTCAGTTTCACACTTACAAACAAGTGTGAACCTGAAATCGCTTTTTCTATTAAATTTTATTTGAAAATTTTATTTGAAAATTTCACAGTAAGCAATTTCTGATAACTTACATCTACTTCTGGGTTGATGGTCACCAATAGCAAGGTAAACCTTGGCAAAATTATCATCATTTAGGATTACTGATGTGAGGAAACATACAGATTAACAAAAATCATTATATGTTAGTATGCATTAGGCACTCATTTTAACCTTTTAAATTTTTTATGGCTTTTACTCTTCTTAACCTAAAACAAAAAGCATAATTATTGTCATTGTTGAGTGGCTAGTAAAGGTAATAATAATAAAAAATAATAATAAAATAATAAAAATGAATAAAAATGAAATTATAAAAGGAATGCTCATAGTAGTAGTATTCAAAATATGGACCTCAATCAAATACATGGGAGCTTGTTAGATAGATATTTAGGCCCCACCCAGACCTTCTGAATCAGAATCTCTGCAAAATTAGAATTTCTTCAGGTAATTCTGAAGCATGCTAAAGGTAGAGCACTGCTATTTAATATGTGGTCCTCAGACTGGTAGCATCAGCATCACCTGAGTACAGAACTTTGGACCACACCCAAGGTCTATTGAAGCAGATATTATACTTTCTTTTTCTTTTCTGTTTTCTTTCCTTCCTTCCCTCCCTCCCTCCCTCCCTTCCTCTTTCTTTCTCTCTTTCTTTCTTTTTTGGATGGAGTCTCGCTTTGTTGCCCAGGATGGAGTGTAGTGGCACAATCTCGGCTCACTGCAATCTCCACTCCTGGGTTCAAGTGAGTCTCCTGCCTTAGACTCCTGAGTAGCTGGGATTAAAGGCCCGTGCCACCATGCCCAGCTAATTTTTTTTTGTATTTTTAGTAGAGACGGGGTTTTGCCATGTTGGCTAGGCTGGTCTCGAACTCCTGACCTCTGATGATCCACCTGCCTCGGGCTCCCAAAGTGCTAGCATTACAGGCATGAGCCACCACGAGAAATTCTATTTTCTAAGATGCCCAGATTAAGAGTACACACATACACATACACACACACACATACACACACACACATACACACACACAATAAAGACCTAGATAAAATTTCACGAGACAACTTACTCTAATATATTTCATACATCTGTCTTCTGTCCTAAATTTGTTGGGGTTCATCTACCCTGAACAAAAATGATTCTCTGAGTTCAGTGGTTTTAATTCTAATTTTCCCATTCCATATTTGGAAAATGAAACCCAGGGAGAAATTAAAATAGGAATCCACTGATGAGATAAGCCTATTAGCCATGGTTCCTTTATTATCCCTAGATGGTGTGGAAGAATTCATAACAGCTCTTGCAGTGTTAATTTACAATATCTTCTCCACTGGCCTTACCAAATACTAAACTATCTATTTTTTATTTTGCATTTAAACATTGAAGCATTTTGTCAATATGCAGCTAGGGGATCCATCGGCCAGTATTGAGAGGTATTAAGATGAGAGAATATTAAGATAATAAGCTGTGGTGAAATAACTACTGGTTATGAGCCATAGACCTGGTATTCAGTCCTGGACTAACTATGTATTAATTATAATTTTTGATAGCTCATTGACTACTCTCAGGCAAAATGAGAAAAATCAAATTAATAATTTATAAATGGTCTTGACATCTTAATCAATGATTGGATAATCACTTTAGTTACTTAGGTAGCCAAAATGGGGGTACCAAACAGGTTTGCTGTGATAGGGCAGAAAGGGTCAGGACAGGACAGGTTTAGCATAAAACGTCATGGGGAATACACTGTGCAAGCAGATACACAGGAATGTCACCAACTCCCCTTCCCTAGCATGGGAATGGGTCTCAGTGAGGCCACCAAGGCAAGATCCTTTCATGAACACTTCTCTGTAAGCACTAGTTTTTGCACGAACATATTATCAGTATATCATGTTATCATGTATCATGGTCTTGTTTGAATTTTAGGAATGTCTGTGCTCTCCACTCACTATGATTTCTGGCTCCCTCTGTGGAATTCTTTTTATTCTCTTTTACTATCTGGGGCTGTGTTGGGCACAGGCAGTGCTGGGGATGCCACTGACAGCAGCTATCCCCAGGCACAACAGACTTCCCTGGCATGCTTCGCTTGATAAAAATAGTTTTTGGCACTAGTATAAAACCTTTCATCTTTGAGTCTTAAATTATTTTAAAAGCATTAATTCTTGCAGGATTCCTGCAAGGCACATATTTTAGAGTCACAGATTTATAGAGACTTGAAGATAAAAGGAACTTCAGAGATCATCTACTTCAAACCCCTTCATTTTTCAGGTGAAGAATTGAAATCCCCAAAAGGTGAAGTGACTTGCCCAAGCAGTTCTCTTTTTAAAAATGTGAATTCAGGACAGTTAGGTGAATCACTCCAAGCCATAGAATGCATTTTAAAGTATTATAGAAATTAAACTTTTTAAATTTTATTTCCTAACTTTGGGGGAAAGTTAACTGTTTTTTCTTTTTTTGCAAGCAGGACAAAGGTATTGGGGACTATGCAGAGGTGGATTTGTAAAATGATGTGTTAATAATGGGTGATAATTTAAAATAGATCAAAGTAGTATACCATTAAACAGAAGAAATAATATTGCTTCTCCTCATGTAATTTCAAGGTATAGGATGGGAGAAATTGCTGGAAAAGAATTTTTATTAAATCTGACAACCTCCCTGCCCACTTTTAATCTTTAATCACCTCTTACTACATTGTCACCCCTTTTCCCCACCTTCATATATTAATTAACTATAACTTTAAAGGAAGAAAAAAATGGCGAGGAAAAGAAGGAAATTGACTATAAAGAAACCTACTGGTCCATGAATAGGGATGATGGGAAGGTCACCATGGAAGCTTTTACATCTCCTTTGAGAAGGGAGAATTACACTGAAGCTGCTGAAATAATATTTATTGACCATCCCATGAGGGCAAGGCATTTTCACAGATTCAAAGCTGTCATTTGAGAGCTTGCAAGAAACAAGAAAATAGTCTTATGCAAACTTCATCCTACCACGAAATTAATGACATAAAATGTGTAATAGGGGTGCATATGAATTGTTATGGGAACACATAGAAAAGAGGCATAGATTTAAAATGGATGTATTTCAGAAGATTTAGACGAAATTCAAAGTGATTCTAGAAAAAATGGTTGGTAAAAATCGGACTGAAAGAGAAAGGGCGTTTCAGATAAAAAGGAATGTATTCTACCAGTAGCATCCTATTCTTTCTTTCTCTGAAAAATAAAGGCACAAAAAAGAAAGTTACAGGGATGAATGACAGTATTATGGCACAACCAGAGGACTAATTTGTGAAGAAATAATGCGAGGAAATGAAGATATGAATCACGAGTGGTAACGATGAGAAGAATCCACTTGAGGGAACTTGTTTGGAGAATTTTGGGATAATTTTCTGCTGGGTTGATAGATAAGGGGAAGAAAGAGGATACAGGGTTACATTACAGATAAAATGAAGAAACATTGAGATCAATTAGAAAATAAGGAAGTCTGCAAAGGCCCCACTGAATGCTGTGTAATACAATCAACTGAGAGCAGCACTGACAGAACATTAGAAGATATATGGATTTGACCGAGTCAAGAAATAACTTTCCCTCTGTAAATACTTGAGGATAGCTTTTCAAATCCTTCCTTTCCAAGATATGTGATTGAATAAAGAAGATTATATCTCAAAGGACAATACAATGAAAGAAATGTGACTGATGGCCTAAGAATATAAGGAAGAGTTGGGGTAACATGATAAATGTGAGTAAATATAATGATATTTTAAGATAACAGATAAATATGGTTTCTCTTCCTTGAAATCTCAGCAGGTTAGAGGAAGAAGTGACTTTAAGGATTATTGTTGATATGTGTAACAGAATATATGAGTCTCAAAATAATTAAATTGAGTGAAAAATGGCAAACCAAACAATAAGAGTACATACTGTATGATTCTACTTATGTAAAACTCTAGAAAAAGCAAAATAATAGGTAGAGAGAGAAAATACTTCAATGCAAGCACTGTCATTTTGGGGACAGGGTAGTATAGATTATAAAGATGTAGGACAGATTATAAATGGACATGAGAAAATTTTCGGGGATTGTGGACATGTTCATTATCTTGATGTGTTGATAGTTTCATAGAGGTATATATGTGTCAAAACTTACCAAATTGTGTACTTTATACGTGTCTGTTTCCTTACTGCCAATTATAAAGTATAATTTCACATGTATACAGTGTACCTAAAGTTTTTTAAAGAAATAATATGTATAAATGAAAATCCATTTACACTAAAAATGTATAGTTGTCTTGGCAAATATTTCCTTGGATTGCACCTACGAAGATATACCTGTCTGACATAGGATATCTCTTCTCCTTGTGGAACAGGAAAACTTATTCCATAGTGATCTTCTTTTAAAAAAGAAATATAGGTCAGGCGCTGTGGCTCACGCCTGTAATCCCAGCACTTTGGGAAGCCAAGGCGGGCGGATCTTGAGGTCAGGAGATCGAAACCACTCTGGCTAACACGGTGAAACCCCGTCTCTACTAAAAATACAAAAAAAATTAACCGGGTGTGGCGTGGCGGGGGGTGACTGTAGTCCCAGTTATTCGGGAGGCTGAGGCAGGAGAATGGCTGAACCCGGGAGGCAGAGCTTGCACTGAGCCAAGATTGCGCCACTGCACTCCAGCCTAGGCTACAGAGCAAGACTCCGTCTCAAAAACAAACAAACAAAAACAAAAACAAACAAACAAAAGGAACCAAAAAAAAAAAAAAACAAATATAACTGTTGTGTTTCTATGAAACGAAGATGTGAGTGAAATTCATTGGTAGAGAGCAAAAGGCAGTGCATCAGTTGTCAGGATGCCTGCTCTCTGATGTCAGCTAGGGCTTTGATTTACTCTGTGATTTTGGAACCTAACCTCATATTATCATCTAAATAATGAGAATTAAAACATTTATGCCACACCTCACACATTTAAAAAAAAAGACAAATTTACTTGGACATATTCACAATATTTTTGTTGGTACTGTGCCAGGCTATGGGGAAGCAATGATGAATAGGATATGGTCTCTTCTCTAGAAGCTTCTGATAGATATTAATAGATAGGCAGACAAATCAATTATAGATAACCTAAATTTTATAATAATTTTATGAGAAGAATACAGTAGAAGTGCAGAGGAGGAAGGAACTAATTATCTGAGGGTGGAGGAAGTGACATTTCAATTAGTTCTTGAAGAAAAAATCATTCAGCAGATAGAGAAAGGAGGATAGAGATTGAATGTGGAAGAAATCGGCAAAGGCACAGACACATAAGGGGACACAGTAAATGGGGATGTCTTGAAATTCCTTGTGCATGGCATGGCGTGGTGGCTCACAACTGTAATCCCAGCATTTTAGGAGGCCGAGGTTGGCAGATAACCTGAGGTCAGGAGTTCAAGACCAGCCTGGACGAAATGGTAAAACCCCATCTTTACTAAAAATACAAAAATTAGCTGGGCGTGGTGGCGGGCGCCTGTAATCCCAGCTACTCAGGAGGCTGAGGCAGGAGAATCACTTGAACCCAGGAGGCAGAAGTTGCAGTGAGCCGAGATGGTGCCACTGCACTCCAGCCTGGGCAACAGAGCAAGACTCTGCCTAAAAAAAAAAAAAAAAGAAATAAAGAAATTCATTGTGCCATTGTGCTTGAAGAAGAAACTAAATGTGGGATGGAGTTGAAAGATGAATCTGAAGACAGCAACAGCATGGGGCAATATTGTGATGGGCCTTCTATGCTACCTTGGAGAATTTAAACGTAAGGGAACCACAAGAATTCTTTTGCATTGAAGTATATAATCAATACAAAACTAGAATAAATATATATTGCATTAGACAAGTAAGAATTAATACACTAGAATAATCAATGTAAAAAGAATGCATTGATTATTTGACTGTTTCAACTGAAAATTTTGTAGTTATATACACAAATATTGATATAGGAATAAAACCAAAAATGACCATAATTTTATTTCTTGTTAAAATAATTTTTGCAATGTAAATCTAGGTAAACTTATGACAAACAGTTAAGTAATAATTATATTTCTTTGTTACTTAATTTAAACATTTAATATTAACGTATTACCATAGATCAAAAACTCTTTTCTTAGAAAACTATTGACTAAATTTAGCTTCCACTTAGAGAATAAAAGCTTATAAAATTTAAATGTGCTTGAGAAAGACAAGCATAATTTAAAAAATAATGGTTATTAATAGTTTTAATTTAAAATATAACAAAGAAATACAAAAATAATTAACAGATCTTTTTATTGTTAAGATGTGGAAATTCATCTTGTATATGACAGATATAATGCTTAACAGTTTTATGTCACTTAGTTTAATCCTTATGAAAATCTCCTAAAAGAGGCATCATTATCCCATCTGAAAGACAAGGAAATTGAAACTCAAGAAGTGTAGATCATACCACAGATAAATTATAGATTTGGAATTTAAATGCAAATCTAAAGAATTCCAAGTAGCATGCTCATTTTTTTTACAATTAATAAATCACTAAGAACAGTCAATAATAGAGTAAGAAATATTTCGGGGTGTTATCCAACCTGCCTCTATAAAGTTCACTTTGGGTCTTTGAATTATTTAAATCAGCAAGGTTTCACTGACCAATTACTCTATGTCTAGCATCTTAGAAATAAGAAGGACAAAGCCCCTGTCTTCTGAGGACTTATAATATAGACAAGAAGATAGGCCCTTATTAGGAAGCTATTATAAGAACAAACAGAGAGATATAGTACAGTTTAGGTTTGCTGTAGGAAGAAAAAAATCAAAGCCATCATAAATACAGAAGTTAAGTTCAGTCCATCTGCAAATAGTAACAGCTCACCTTTCTGAATATATGTGAAATAGGATGAGTCTGGCCAAGCCTTGCAGCAAGAATGAGAGGGTACAGGTGTCCCTTAACATCAATTTCAGAAAGAGAAGGTAGTAGAAAGCAGAGACTAGGTCGCTTCCATCAGTTAAGTTCTTGATTAGTAGTTGAGTTCCTGTACATCACCTACCTGTCAGGTCTCACGGCCTCAGTAAGAAGGGCCCATATCCCTTTTTAGTGTTGCCAGCCACAATCACCCAAACTGGCATTCCTGGACATCAGGAAAAGCCCAGGAGCAAAAAACCCCTGAAGATACCTTCAAGCATCATTAATGTCATGGTTTCCCAACACAAAACAACTGCAACAAGGAGAACTGAAGTTCCGATGCAAGGTGCAAAGTAGCAAACACAGGAGTTACTTGAACTTCAAAGAAAAAAAATGAGATAAGTCAAGGATGGAGAAAAGTAACTGGAATTTCTTTTCTTTTCTTCTTCTTCTTCTTCTTCTTCTTTTTTTTTTTTTTGAGAGAGAGTCTCGCTCTGTTGCCTAGGCTGGAGTGCAGTGGCAGGATCTCCGCTCGCTGCAACCTCCACCTCCCAGGTTCAAGTGATTCTCCCACCTCAGCCTCCTGAGTAGCTGGGATTACAGGTGCTCACCACCATGCCTGGCTAATTTTTGTATTTTTAGTAGAGGCAGGGTTTCACCATGTTGGCCAGGATGGCCTCGAACTCCTGACCTCAACTGATCCACTCACCTGAGCCTCCCAAAGTGCTGGGATTACAGGCGTGGGCCACTGCACCTGCCTGGAGTTTCATGATTATGAAATTGATGTTTTTCTTGCCATGATTATGCTTATGTTTGGTAATATCTATTACCGCTTAGTGCTTGCAGAAAGAGACTAATCTTAACAAAAATATTTTCTTGGTCTTGTTAACTCCAGAGATGTCCCCATCCTGTTTGAGTAGCTATGGGTAAAAGGAGATTCAAATAATGGAAATAAGAATTATCATCAAATATAAGCTATAATTAAAAATTGAAAGTAAAATTAAGTATTATACCAAAAAAGGGGCCATTTGAAATTGCTCCATACACAGCATATTGTATCTTAATTTTTTTTTGAAGACTTAAGTACCTAGACACAGATTCCTTAAAATGACAAGCTCAGAACCTCTACAGTAATTTGTTTCATATTAAATAACATTTCAGCTATTTTTGTCTGGAATTGCTATGACAAAGAAGCTTATTTATCTTCCTTTCATTTGAGAAGCTGCTTCCTTCCTGGCAGTAATGAGGTTGGCAGAGCTGGTGTGGACCTGATCCAGATTACTAATGCACACTTGGAGAGGGCTTTTCAAACTGCAGCATCTCCAAATAGTGGTCGCCAGCCTGCACAATTCCAGCCCTTAAAGGGATACCTGCTTCCAGGGCCAGCAGTTGCTAGCGTGCTGGACAGGTGGTAACGGGCCTTGAAGAAGCAGGCCATCTAGCCACTTTAGGAATTTCTGTTCTAGAACTTGGTATCATTGCTGTTTGCACTTCCTGCCTCACAGAAGATACTCAAATCTGCTTGCTTCTTTTGTCCTCCATAAGCTGGGTACAGGATATTAATTCCACAGGATAACAGCAACATGAGAGACGCAGATGAGAGACAGGCTAGCTGAAAAGGAAAGCCTTTGAAATGGAAATATAGAATATAAATCCTAGGAATATTCTCTGATTATTTCAGAATCCAGGAAAAAACTTACCTTCAGCCATATTTTTCTCGTGATCCTACAAGCAATGTACTTGTGGATTTGTAGCAATGGGGAAATAATTACGATATGAGGTTTAGAATGCAGCATCTATAGGGTCAGTCTGTCACTGCCTCACTGCATGTCTGAAGCAAACTCCTTGGCCTCCCTGAGCTTCTAGGCTATGCTGTGAATGGAGCTTTCTGAATTAGGTGTTTTGATGCAGAAGTTAAAACTGAATTTGTTTATGCAGAGATTTAATGAACACCAGAATTTTTAGGTGCATGTTTACTATGCAAACAAATGTCTACCGTAAGTAGATTTTCTGCAGATAACCTCATTGGAAATTCCCCATAAGCAATTTCAGTTACTGGCCATATTAATGAAACTGAACACCACATGCTGGGTTGATAATTTTCCACAGCATGGCAAATCCAGAAAACATTACTATTATTGAAATGTAACAGGACAGGAAGAGTATAGTGAAAGCAAATAATTACTGGCACATATCTCATAAAATTGAAAACAATATGAACCTGTTACAATTCAGGTGATATCAACATGGTAGGTGGATGTGAGTGGATGTGCATAAGGAGATGTGAAACAAGTTGAAGTTTCTGTTGCATTTGGAACTGCATCTAGATACTTAAACCAATCAAGATATATGTAGAAAAATAGGTATATCTTCAAATATGTATTAAATTTTAATGTAAGTCACTAAGATAATGAATATGGATTGTAAAATGTCTAAACAGTAGAGTAAACAAGATTGACCCAGAATCAATGAGGCCTCCTGAAAATGTGATGTCGTCCCTTGCAATATAATTCCTTCCCTTATTCTCCCATTAACAGAACCTCTCTTTTCAGTCATGATGACTCAATTCCCAAGCAACAGTAACTGTTCTAACGTGATCAAAACCAAGTTCATCTGAATCCTTTCCTGCAATTTTGTTTTACTGAGGAAAAAATGAAAAGAACTCTTTCATCCCACAGGATTTAGAATTATAAGAATATGAGCCTAAAGCCATCACTATTCAAGTAGGAGCTGCAAGAATAAGAAGCCTGAGAAAATGATGACAATAAAGAGAGGAAGATAAGCTTGGCGACAGGAAGGTGGAGAGATTACTCTGATGCTATTTAAGCCCTGATATTCTGTCGACACGGAGGGTCACTTTCCTCTCATTGTTCTGTGTGTTTCTTGCTTCAGCCTTCACATAAACACATATACATTTTTTTCTTATATTATTTTGAGTCGTGCATCTACCACTTGGGATAGAGAATCCTGACCAAAACCTCAAGAGAACAACTTAGGTAACAAAATTACATGGTAAACAAATAACCTAAAATGTTTTACCATGTTTGTTTCATTATGTCAAAATAATTTTAAAAAATAATAAGCAATTTAAAAATACATAAAAAGTAATCAAAATAAATATGGAGGTATAAATTTTTCTATGACAGAGATAACATTGGATTGAATTTAAAAAGTTAAACAGAAAAAAGAAAAAAGAAAAAAGGAAAAAAGAAACCAGAATAAGAACAAATAGACAACCCAAGTTACTAAATGGTATTTTTAAGAGACACATCCCAAACAAAATGATACACTGTTTAAAAATGTAGGATGGAAAAAAAATATCTAGTAAAATTTATTTTAAAAATGGCTGTGGCAACAGTGATATAATTAAAAAATAGAATTCAATGTGAAGATCAATTATTTGGGTAAAGAGGCCTATTTTATTATGACACAAAGTCCCTTTTACTAGGAACTTATAAAACAGTTAGGAGTCTTTATTCTCCTAGCTGTAACAGTTTAACATATGCTAAAGCAAACCCAGTGAACTATATAAGGACTAGTAGGTAAAGACATAACCATAATAGGGGATGTTAACACTTCCTCTCAGAAATCATCAGGTCAAGCCAATATAACTATAATGGGAACAAACATGACTCATGGGATGTAGTCATAAAGTGATTCTAGTTTTGCTTCTCATTGTCTTTTACAGTTGATGAGTGGAGATATTTCTTCCCCTTTTCCCTGTTCAGGTAAACTGGGTAGCCTCACGATTTATTATAAATTAATAATTCCTGTTCATTCATTTACTAGAGTCTCAATTCAGCCCCTAAAATGTCCAGTCCTATGTCATCATCAAAGAATCTAACCTTGATTTCAGGCATATCCCCCTTTCCCTTGTAGGTCCTACTGTGGACAAACAACAAAAGAAAGGAAGCTGATTGGCTTCCCCTCTTTTTCCTCCCCTAATTCTTTTACTCCTTCTCTCCTTCTAGCTAATCAGGTCCTCTAATTAGCTGGTGCGGTTGGATGAAGGGATTGGGAGAGAGATGATGCTGCCTCTCTATGAAGGTCTGGTCAATGGAAATTACAAGTCTTTTTCCCAATAAACTGTGGAAGAACAGCTTCCCACCAAACTTCAGGTCATGATTTTGCTGCCACAAAACCACTACAGCCTGCTGCATGTTCATTTCTTAGTCTAGACTCAGACCCCAGGCTACCAATACTGTCCTTCTAACTGCAGGGAATACAGGTTAAACTCCTAGTCATTACCTCAAATCCCATTTCCAGTGATGTGGAGCTGGGATGTAGCAAACTCCTCACTCTTCTTCCTTGTAGGAGAGAGACAGTGGTTGTGATTCTTCAGCAAAGTTCAATCCAGAGAAATCCTCTTCCACAATTTTTACCAAATGAAACTCCTGACCCTTTAATAGCCTAGATGTGAGTGAGGAACTTAACAGTTGCCTAAAGTCTTACAAATATCTGATTGAAAATTATTCTTTATAGGGTTATCTTACCCTGAGATGTAATTTCTAGTGTTCTCGAGTTTCAGCCAAAACGTCCATTTTAACCTCATCCTATTATATAAGTAAAAATGAAAAGCATTTTAAAAACTATTCTTGAGGGTGGAGCCAAGATGGCCAAATAGGAACAGCTCCAGTCTACAGTTCCCAGCGTGAGCGATGCAGAAGACGGGTGATTTCTGCATTTCCAACTGAGGTACCGGGTTCATCTCACAGGGGAGTGCCGGACAGTGGGTGCAGGACAGTGGGTGCAGTGCACCATGCGTGAGCCGAAGCAGGGCGAGGCATCGCCTCACCTGGGAAGTGCAAGGAATTCTCTTTCCTAGTCAAAGAAAGGGGTGACAGACGGCACCTGGAAAATCGGGTCACTCCCACCCTAATACTGCACTCTTCAAACAGGCTTAACAAACGACACACCAGGAGATTACATCCCGCACATGGCTCGGAGGGTCCTATGCCCACAGAGCCTAGCTCATTGCTAGCACAGCAGTCTGAGATCAAACTGCAAGGCGGCAGTGAGGCTGGGGGAGGGGTGCCCACCATTGCTCAGGCTCGAGTAGGTAAACAAAGTGGCCAGGAAGCTCAAACTGGGTGGAGCCCACCACAGCTCAAAGGGGCCTGCCTGCCTCTGTAGGCTCCACCTCTGGGGGCAGGGCACAGACAAACAAAAGACAGCAATAACCTCTGCAGTCTTAAATGTCCCTGTCTGATAGCTTTGAAGAGAGTAGTGGTTCTCCCAGCATGCAGCTTGAGATCTGAGAATGAGCAGAGTGCCTCCTCAAGTGGGTCCCTGACCCACGAGTAGCCTAACTGGGAGACACCCCCCAGTAGGGGCAGACTGACACCTCACACGGCCGGGTACTCCTCTGAGACAAAAATTCCAGAGGAATGATCAGGCAGCAGCATTTGCGGTTCACCAATATCCGCTGTTCTGCAGCTACTGCTGCTGATACCCAGGCAAACAGGGTCTGCAGTGGACCTCCAGTAAACTCCAACAGACCTGCAGCTGAGGGTCCTGACTGTTAGAAGGAAAACTAAAAAACAGAAAGGACATCCACACCAAAAATCCATCTGTACGTCACCATCATCAAAGACCAAAGGTAGATAAAACCACAAAGATGGGAAAAAACAGCAGAAAAACCAGAAACTCTAAAAATCAGAGCGCCTCTCCTCCTCCAAAGGAACGCAGCTCCTCACCAGGAATGGAACAAAGCTGGATGGAGAATGACTTTGACGAGTTGAGAGAGGAAGGCTTCAGAAGATCAAACTACTCCGAGCTAAAGGAGGAAGTTCTAACCAATGGCAAAGAAGTTAAAAACTTTGAAAAAAAAATTAGATGAATGGCTAACTAGAATAAGCAATGCAGAGAAGTACTTAAAGGAACTGATGGAGCTGAAAACCAAGGCACCAGAACTACGTGATGAATGCACAAGCCTCAGTAACTGATGCGATCAACTGGAAGAAAGGGTATCAGCGATGGAAGATGAAATGAATGAAATGAAGTGTGAAGAGAAGTTTAGAGGAAAAAGAATAAAAAGAAACAAACAAAGCCTCCAAGAAATATGGGACTATGTGAAAAGACCAAATCTACGTCTAATTGGTGTACCTGAAAGTGACAGGGAGAATGGAACCAAGTTGGAAAACACTCTGCAGGATATTATCCAGGAGAACTTCCCCAATCTAGCAAGGCAGGCCAACATTCAAATTCGGGAAATACAGAGAATGCCACAAAGATACTCCTCGAGAAGAGCAACTCCAAGACACGTAATTGTCAGATTCACCAAAGTTGAAGTGAAGGAAAAAATGTTAAGGGCAGCCAGAGAGAAAGGTCGGGTTACCCACAAAGGGAAGCCCATCAGACTAACAGCTGATCTCTCGGCAGAAACTCTACAAGCCAGAAGAGAGTGGAGGCCAATATTCAACATTCTTAAAGAAAAGAATTTTCAAGCTAGAATTTCATTTCCAGCCAAACTAAGCTTCATAAGTGAAGGAGAAATAAAATACTTTACAGACAAGCAAATGCTGAGAGATTTTGTCACCACCAGGCCTGCCCTAAAAGAGCTCCTGAAGGAAGCACTAAACATGGAAAGGAACAACCGGTACCAGCCAGTGCAAAAACATGCCAAATTGTAAAGACCATCAAGGCTAGGAAGAAACTGCACCAACTAATGAGCAAACTAACCAGCTAACATCATAATGATAGGATCAAATTCACACATAACAATACTAACCTTAAATGTAAATGGGCTAAATGCTCCAATTAAAAGGCACAGATTGGCAAATTGGATAAAGAGTCAAGACCCATCAGTGTGCTGTATTCAGGAAACCTATCTCATGTGCAGAGACACACATAGGCTAAAAATAAAGGAATGGAGTAAGATCTACCAAGCAAACGGAAAAGAAAAAAAGGCAGGGGTTGCAATCCTAGTCTCGGATAAAACAGACTTTAAACCAACAAAGATCAAAAGAGACAAAGAAGGCCATTACATAATGGTAAAGGGATCAATTCAACAAGAAGAACTAACTATCCTAAATATATATGCACCCAATACAGGAGCACCCAGATTCATAAAGCAAGTCCTTACAGACCAACAAAGAGACTTAGATTCCCACACAATAATAATGGGAGACTTTAACAGCCCACTGTCAATATTAGACAGATCAATGAGACAGAAAGTTAACAAGGATATCCAGGAATTGAACTCAGCTCTGCACCAAGCAGACCTAATAGACATCTACAGAACTCTCCACCCCAAATCAACAGAATATACATTCTTTTCAGCACCACACCACACCTATTCCAAAATTGACCACATAGTTGGAAGTAAACCACTCCTCAGCACATGTAAAAGATCAGAAATTATGACAAACTGTCTCTCAGACCACAGTGCAATCAAACTAGAACTCAGGATTAAGAAACTCACTCAAAACTGCTCAACTACATGGAAACTGAACAACCTGCTCCTGAATGACTACTGGGTACACGAAATGAAGGCAGAAATAAAGATGTTCTTTGAAACCAATGAGAACAAAGGCACAACATACCAGAATCTCTGGGACACTTTAAAAACAGTGCATAGAGGGAAATTTATAGCACTAAATACCCACAAGAGAAAGCAGGAAAGATCTAAAATTGACACCCTAACATCACAATTAAAAGAACTAGCGAAGCAAGAGCAAACACATTCAAAAGCTAGCAGAAGGCAAGAAATAACTAAGATCAGAGCAGAACTGAAGGAAATAGAGACAAAAAAAACCCTTCAAAAAATCAATGAATCCAGGAGCTGGTTTTTTGAGAAGATCAACAAAATTGATAGACCGCTAGCAAGACTAATAAAGAAGAAAAGAGAGAAGAATCAAAGAGACGCAATAAAAAATGACAAAGGGGATATCACCACCGATCCCACAGAAATACAAACTACCATCAGAGAATACTATAAACACCTCTATGCAAATAAACTAGAAAATCTAGAAGAAATGGATAAATTCCTTGACACATACACTCTCCCAAGACTAAACCAGGAAGAAGTTGAATCTCTGAAGAGACCAATAGCAAGCTCTGAAATTGAGGCAATAATTAAGAGCTTACCAACCAAAAAAAAGTCCAGGACAAGATGGATTCACAGCCAAATTCTACCATAGGTAGAAGGAGGAGCTGGTACCGTTCCTTCTGAAACTATTCCAATGAATAGAAAATGAGAGAATCCTCCCTAACTCATTTTATGAGGCCAGCATCATCCTGATACCAAAGCCGGGCAGAGACGCAACAAAAAAAGAGAATTTTAGACCAATATCCTTGATGAACATTGATGCAAAAATCCTCAATAAAATACTGGCAAACCGCATCCAGCAACACATCAAAAAGCTTATCCACCATGATCAAGTGGGCTTCATCCCTGGGATGCAAGCCTGGTTCAACATACGAAAATCAATAGACGTAATCCAGCATATAAACAGAAACAAAGACACAAACCACATGATTATCTCAATAGATGCAGAAAAGACCTTTGACAAAATTCAACAATGCTTCACGCTAAAAATTCTCAATAAATTAGGTATTGATAAGACGTATCTCAAAATAATAAGAGCTATCTATGACAAACCCACAGCCAATATCATACTGAATGGACAAAAACTGGAAGCATTCCCTTTGAAAACTGGCACAAGACAGGGATGCCCTCTCTCACCACTCCTATTCAATATAGTGTTGGAAGTTCTGGCCAGGGCAATCAGGCAGGAGAAGGAAATAAAGGGCATTCAATTAGGAAAAGAGGAAGTCAAATTGTTCCTGTTTGCAGATGACATGATTGAATGTCTAGAAAACCCCATTGTCTCAGCCCAAAATCTCCTTAAGCTGATAAGCAACTTCAGCAGTCTCAGGATACAAAATCAATGTGCAAAAATCACAAGGATTCTTATACATCAATAACAGACAAACAGAGAGCCAAATGATGAGTTGAACTCCCATTCACAATTGCTTCAAAAGAATAAAATACCTAGGAATCCAACTTACAAGGGGCATGAAGGACCTCTTCAAGGGGAACTACAAACGACTGCTCAATGAAATAAAAGAGTATACAAACAAATGGAAGAACATTCCATGCTCGTGGGTAGGAAGAATCAATATCGTGAAAATAGCCATACTGCCCAAGGTAATTTATAGATTCAATGCCATCCCCATCAAGCTACCAATGACTTTCTGCACAGAATTGGAAAAAACTACTTTAAAGTTCATATGGAACCAAAAAAGAGCCCACATCACCAAGTCAATCCTAAGCCAAAAGAACAAAGCTGGAGGCATCATGCTACCTGACTTCAAACTATACTACAAGGCTACAGTAACCAAAACAGCATGGTACTCGTACCAAAACAGAGATATAGACCAATGGAACAGAACAGAGCCCTCAGAAATAATGCTGCATATCTACAACTATCTGATCTTTGACAAACCTGACAAAAACAAGCAATGGGGAAAGGATTCCCTATTTAATAAATGCTGCTGGGAAAACTGGCTAGCCATATGTAGAAAGCTGAAATGGATCCCTTCCTTACACCTTATACAAAAATTAATTCAAGATGTATTAAAGACTTAAATGTTAGACCTAAAACCATAAAAACCCTAGAAGAAAACCTAGGCAATACCATTCAGGACATAGGCATGGGCAAGGACTTCATGTCTAAAACACCAAAAGCAATGGCAACAAAAGCCAAAATTGACAAATGGGATCTAATTAAACTAAAGAGCTTCTGCACAGCAAAAGAAACCACCATCAGAGTGAACAGGAAACCTACAGAATGGGAGAAAATTTTTGCAACCTACTCATCTGACAAAGGGCTAATATCCAGAATCTACAATGAACTCAAACAAATTTATAAGAAAAAAACAAACAACCCCGTCAAAAAGTGGGCAAAGGATATGAACAGACACTTCTCAAAAGAAGACATTTATGCAGCCAAAAAACACATGAAAAAATGTTCATCATCACTGGCCATCAGAGAAATACAAATCAAAACCACAATGCGATACCATCTCACACCAGTTAGAATGGAGATCATTAAAAAGTCAGGAAACAACAGGTGCTGGAGAGGATGTGGAGAAATAGGAACACTTTTACACTGTTGGTGGGACTGTAAACTAGTTCAACCATTGTGGAAGTCAGTGTGGCGATTCCTCAGGGATCTAGAACTAGAAATACGATTTGACCCAGCCATCCTATTACTGGGCATATACCCAAAGGATTATAAATCATGCTGCTATAAATACACATGCACATGTACGTTTATTGCAGCACTATTCACAATAGCAAAGACTTGGAACCAACCCAAATGTCCAACAATGATGGACTGGATTAAGAAAATGTGACACATATACACCATGGAATACTATGCAGCCATAAAAAATGATGAGTTCATGTCCTTTGTAGGGACATGGATGAAGCTGGAAACCATCATTCTCAGCAAACTATCGCAAGGACAAAAAAACCAAACACCGCATGTTCTCACTCATAGGTGGGAATTGAACAATGAGAACACATGGACACAGGAAGGGGAACATCACACACCAGGGACTGTTGTGGGGTGGGGGGAGCGGGGAGGGATAGCATTAGGAGGTATACCTAATGCTAAATGATGAGTTAATGGGTGCAGCACACCAACATGGCACATGTATACATATGTAACAAACCTGCACGTTGTGCATATGTATCCTAAAATTTAAAGTATAATAATAATAAAAAAATAAATAAATAAAAATAAAAACTATTCTTTTACTATCTTTCCCTCCAAGTTGATTCTGGGAGAAACAATTATAGCCTTATCTGCAATGAAAAGTATCAATAATAGATTAAACCTTTAATTAGAGATGTTGAAAATAATTCCAAGAATATAGAGAGAACGAATATAAACAATGATAAATCTAGGCTTCATAATACAGAGAACAACAACAACAGAAAGCTAAAAGATGAATTTTTGGAAAACATTAATAAACAAAATATTAAAAATGCTAGCAAGTCTGATTAATGGGAAAAAAGACAATTCACTAATAACATTATGAAAAAGAAACAGGACATAATTACAGATGTTGAGAAAATGAAAAATAAGATAACATTATGTGCAAATTTATGGTGATATATTTAAAAATTTAAATGAAATAATCATTTTCTAGGACAACAAAAGTGACAAAAGTGTCTGGGAAAATGAAGTAAAATACCTTAACAAACTAAAAACAACTAAAAAAACTTCAAAGTAGTACTGTTTTAAATGACATCTGCTTATTTTGTGAATTCAAATCATCTTGTAAGGGACTTATGAGTTGTCTAATAATTCTTTTTATTTAAGCTGTTTCAAAGCAAAGAATAAAGATAAAAGTTTCCTTATTCATCACAAGGCTACTATAACACCAGTACCACAAGACTGTCATAAAAACCTAATAGCCCAATGTCATATATGAACATACAACTTTTTAAAATCATCAAATTAAATTTCTTACTGTATTAAAAAAGTAGTAAAACATAACCAAGTATTTATCTTAAGACGACAAATACCGTTCATCATTTAAACATTATTTTAGTGAGACCTGGAACTATGAAATTCCTGGAAGAAAACATAGGGCCTTGACAATGAGTTTTTTGTATATCACACCAAAATATCAGGCAAAAAAGGCAAAAATAAACAAGTGGGACTACATCAAACTAAAAAGCTCCTTCAGAGTAAAGGAAACAATCAATGAAATGAGAAGGCAGCCTACAAATTGGGAGAAAATATTTGCAAGCTATATATCTGATAAGGGATTAATATCCAAAATCTATAAGAAACTCATGCTACTCAACATAAACAACAACAAAACCCCAAAAAACAAAACCACAAATAACCAGATTTTAAAATGAGCACAGGACCTGCATAGGCTTTTTTTCCAAAGAAAACATACAAGTCGCCAAAAGGTATGTAAAAATTCGTCAACATCATTAATCATCAGGGAAATAAAAATCAAAACCACTATGAAATATTTCCTCACACCTATTGGGATGGCTATTATTTTAAAAATAAAACTTAAAAAGAGAGAAAAAAAACAACAACCAAGTGATAGGTATTGGTGAGAGTGTGGAGAAAAGAGAGCCCTTGTATACAACTGTTGGAAATGTAAACTGGTAAAGCCAGTTTAACACAGCACGGAGGTTCCTTAAAAGTTAAACACAGAACTACCATATGATACAGCAATTCCACCACTGAGTATGTTTCAAAAGGAAAATGAAATCAGCGTGTCCAAGAGATATTTGTACTACCACGCTTATTGCAGCATTATTTACAATAGCCAAAACATAGAATCAACTTAAATATCTATTAACACATGAATGGATTTTAAAATGTGGTATGTGTATACACACACACAATTAAATACTATTTAGTCTTTGGAAAGATAGAGATTCTGACATTTGTGACAACATAGATGAACCTGAAGGACACTTTGCTAAGTGAAATAAGCCAGACATTGAAAGAAATAAACTACCCTGCATAATCTCACTTACACACAGATTTTTTTAAAAAATAGAATACATAAAAGAAACAGAGTAGAACAGTGGTTACAAAGGGTGAGGTGAGAGGAGGGAGGGGAAGGAAATATGTAGGTCAAAAATTACAGAGTTGCAGTTATATAGGATGAATAAGTCTAGAGATCAAATGTATAGCATCAGAATCATAGTTAATAATATTGTATTGTATACTGAAAATTTGCTGAGTAGAGTCCAGATGGTTTTACCACACACACACACACACACACACACACACATACACACACAAGGTAACTGTGAAGTGATAGATATTAATAGGTAGATGGATTTATTAGGTTGTTTGTTCTTAAAGTAACATTTAAAAATATACTGTGGTTAGTAATCTTTTCTATTTTATATATATATATAAATATATATATATATATATAATATTTTTATCTTTACAAATATGTTCTCCCAATCTGGTACTTGTCTTTTTACTTTACTTAAGATGCCTCTCATTCTGCAGAACATTTTAATATTCACTGAGTTAAAATTAAACCTTTAATAAAGGTTTACAGAATGACCCTTCTACACATGCATTGTTCACTGTTCTGTGATTGCCCCTCTATATCCTTTCTCTGTCCTGCTCTTATTGCTTGGAGGCTGATGTGGGGTTCCCTTACCTTCTGGCTTTCGGTTTGGATTGGCGCATGGAGGCAACAACAGAATTGGAGAGTGAGAGGGGATTTCTTTTATTTCTTCTCTGCTACTTCTCTGCCATACTGTGGTTGGTAGTGGCTGCATCCCTCTACCGATGGCCAGACTTCTCACTGGGCAAGTCTGGGCAAGCCTCCCATGACCACAGCATTCACTGGAATCCAGTAACAAAGAACATCCTCTCCTTGTTTTCTCAGGCTGAGAGGTGGTAATTGCTTTCTTCCTTTGCCAATACCTGGGTATTTCACCATCTTTTGCTGGTTCCCTTCAACCTGCCCAAAAGTGTTTCCTGTTGAAATCACAAGTGATATGTAAACTGTACAATACCATGCAGCTATTAAATAGTGTGATGCAGAACTATATATGTACCAACATGAAAACAATTGCACAATACATGTGTTTGCTTTTTAACAATCCAAATACCCACATATGTATCATTTATCCATAATAATCACGATTTGCCATGTTTTAGTTCAATGCTATTTCCACCATTTAGACATTTCAAATCCATAGTGCACTATAATAAAAAAGGTATATAATACATACTTGAACAATTCATTGGTTTAAAAAGAGCTTTAACTGTCAAAACATATGAACAAATGATAATCCTAGATGACCTATGTCATTCCTGCAGCAATACTGTGACGTCAATGCAACCCCTTTTTCAGGTTCCACATCCTCTGCCTATATAACAAAGAACCAGGATTCCATGGCAACACAAACTGGCCAGCTGCAGCACCTTACCAAGCATCATGCCCTATATATAGCACAATAGCATCATGAACTATAATTTCTTCAATTATTATAGCACATTGGTTTATAAATTGAGGATCAAAACACATACTAAAATTTTAGAAAGTTATGGTGTTTAGATGCTCAGATAATATATCTTCTGCTATTTTAAATGACAACATCACTATAAAGTGATATTGAAACATAAAAGTAAAAATGACAACCACCTCTGGGTATGGAATTGGGATTGTTGTGGGCACAGGGGAAATTTATCTTTTCATTTTCTAAACTTCTGTATTAATTTTCCAGTAAATCCATATTCATTTTCTTGTTATATAAATACATTTAAATAAAATTTGATACAGAAAAAGATGCGATTTTCTACAGTGAAACTCTGATAATTCCACAGAAGATGAAAAGAGAACACGTTGACTACATACAGAGCTCTCTGAAGTTAGCCTTTAAAACAACACATACAAAAGGAAGGAGAATGGATGCAGAGAGATCACTAGAATCATTAACTCTTAATGTGAAAACAATGCCTTAGACAGAGCATCTAGGTCGGTAGCAATACAGTCAGGATACCCCAAAGCTCAGACTGTGTTGAGATCTATGAAAATAGCCCAAGACAATAAGAGAAATTATATTTGTTAATATCAGACAAGAACATAAACTGAACAACAGGGAACTATTTAAGAAGGACTCACATTTTTGTTAACCTGATGGAAATAACAGACATACTCAACTACTGTTTACTTTTGTTTCCTTAACAAGGAGACATAAAAAAAGAGAAAGAAGGAGTTGAAGCTCACTACAGAAGAGAAGATAGAAAGGGAATACTTTGACCCTTTAAATGGTATTCAGTCTTTAGATACTAAAGGATTACATTCTAGTGTAAAGAAAGAATTTACAAATGTGGTCAGTAACAGAATCAATAACCTTTGGAATTTGGATAAGTTTAAGGAAATAAACCAAAGTCCCAATGTTCTAAAGTAAGAGACATAGATTCTGAAGATTCATTTTCAGTTCATATTAATAAGATCTGTGTTTGTGCGTGTGAAGTGATCTTTTATCTTCTTTAATTCAGTTAGTGCCTTATTTGTGGAGAGATACTCATCACATTTAACTAAAATTTTAATTATTTTGGCAAATATCTTATACTGATGTAAATATGTAGACTTTTTAAATGGTGAATGCTAGATTGTCTGTCACATAGGATTTTTAACCATCCTGGTGATTATTAAGTGTCTGTTGAGGAAGAACAAATGAATTAATTAGAGATCTTTTGAAGCAGCGTTTCTCTTATCTGTGGAAGCACTCTAGTTCACAGTGTATGATTCTGTGTCAATGCTGATGCTAAAGACAGATAAGAAAAAGCTGAGGCTCCTCTGTGAGGCCTTGCAACTACAGAGTGAGGAGGCAGTCATGACAGGAACAGGGACAGCTGGAGTGAGATCCTCCATTCCCCTCACAGATTTCTTTCTTCTCTTAATAGGATAATGTCAACCCCAGTCCCATAGCCTAGTCTCACCCCTTCTTAGGCACTGATAACAAGAAAGCAAAGAAAGCTGGCTCAGTGAGGTCCTCAGCCCCATCAGCCTAGTCCCAACCCCTCCTCCGGCACTGATATCAAGAAAGCAAAGAAGGCTGGCTCAGTGAGGTCCTCAATCTTATGCTCGAGAAACTTGACAGAGGTGGAGAGCTGATCTGTCTCAGTAATAAGAGCCTCCTATCACCTTTGAGGCAATGGCCCTTCAGAATAATCTTCTCTATTTTGCCTGTCCCCTTTGTGGCATTATTATCTTCTTGGGTTCTGACAACACATCAGACTTGGGGTATCCTTCTATAGACACAGCACCTGGATGCTTGTGAACATTGCAATTGACTTGTTTCAGGCTGGGACTTTCTACAACCCTTCCAACAATGTCACCAGACCACTTCAAACCATCCTTCTGCTTGCCTGCTTGTTTCTTTTAGGGGCTGACCCCTCACTTGTCAATAATGAAATATGTTCATGATTCCAACCATGGCTGGGAGCTGTTTCAAATATAAAATAGGCAGCCCCATCCCCACTCCAACATGACACTGGGAATGTCATGCCTCTAAATTCAGCACCACTGGGTTACACCTGGGTTGACGGCTACTCAGGGAGAAGAATAGCCCATATTTTATGTGGAGAAGTATGATCACAGATCCAAATCCCTGACTTCTAAACTAATTCTGTGAACACTGTTTTTTTTTTAGATGACTACCATCTCTGGAAGTGTATTTTCCAACTTGTCACATTTTTCAAATTTATAAAATTTTCTCATTTCATTACACAAATAAAAGGAAGGTAATCATCATAGTTCCAATTTCTCAGAACCTTTCCCAAGTGAAACCATATAGACATCTCTCTGTTTGCAGGCCCAGATCGGAAATACTACTCTTGCCTGGTCAATAATGGTGGTAGGTGATAAAGCATAAGGACCAGAATGGTCATCACAGTCACTCTCCAGATTTTCAGGTTAACAAATGTGAACTAAACTTTTCAAAATTTTAAAAATAAATACCAGTAGATCAATATTGGCAGTAATTATGCTTTCTCTAATATAAAAAATGTATGAAGCAGTTATCTCTATTAAATAATCAAATTAAATATAAATTTATCTTAACCACTAAGTACAAATTGACTACTTAATTGAATAAATATTAATTATAAATTATTATTCTTGAAAAATTAGGGTAATGTACAGAAGTAGCTCACTGCTTAATAAATATGACGGATAACTGTTATTTCAGCATATTTTTCACTCCTTTCCAGGTGTGGCACCTATATTTTCCTCAAACATGAAAGGAACAAATTAAAAAAATAAAATTAGAGAATAATGATTATGAGGATGTGCTTTGAAGTCAGACGAGAATTTAAATCGTTCCTTATTTACTGACTAGCAGTGTAATACTGAGCCTGTTTCCTTATCTTCAAATGAGGTTAACAATATGTGATTAAATGGAATCATATATTTAACAAGCCCAATTTAGAGCCAGTCACGTAGAAACACCTTTTAAGTGGTAATTATTGTGCAATTTTAACTAATTTTACATAAACATTATAATGGATGCAAAAAAGACAATGTTTTGTGGAGTACATTATATTATTCTCCGCATAAAAAGGCAAATAAGTGAAGTGCATATAGCACATCCTTTTAACTCATTTTCCAATAAATGTTGTTACGGTCTGAAGGTTTGTGTGCCCCTAGAATTCACATTTTAAAATCCTAACCCTCAAGGTGATGGTCCTAGGAGGTGGGGCCTTTGAAAGTTTTTTTTACAGCTTTTGTACTTTTAATTTCTCGAGTCTGTTTAGCTCTCTTTCAAATGCATAATGACTTTTTTTATACTTTCCTATTTTCTGCAGATATTATAAACTGTTGTTCTTTTATGTATAATAAGCACTATGTTTTTTAGTATTTTTCCAGTGATTACCAGACGTGAAGACTTTGTTTTCTCTGTGGCTTCCTCTGATTTTCCATTTCCTCCTGTGCCTCCATTGGTATGTGAGTGGTTCATGCTTGAGCTACAGCATGAATGCAACTTCCTCCAGGTAAAACTTGGATATAACTATGCCCCAGGTGCCTGGGACATAACCCACTCAAAGCCATCTTTCTTTCTTTCTTTTTCTTTTCTTTTCTTTTCTTTCTTTTTTTTTTTTTTTTTTTGAGACAGAGTTTTGCTCTGTCAACCATGCTGGAGTGCAGTGGCACAATCTCGGCTCACTGCAACCTCTGCCTCCCGGGTTCAAGCAGTTCTCCTGCCTCAGCCTCCCAAGTAGCTGGGATTATAGGTGCACGCTCACACACCTGACTAATTTTTGTATTTTTAGTAAAGGAAGTGTTTCGCCATATTGGCCAGGCTGGTCTCGAACTCCTGACCTCAGGTGATCCACCTGCCTCAGCCTCCCAAAGTGCTGGGATTACAGGCATGAACCACCATGCCCGGCCTGAAAGCCGTCTTGAATCAAAGTCGGATGTTAGTAGAGCTAGCCCTGCAATGTGAAGTGCAGGCTACAAATTAGTATGAAGGCTGATTGACTCACTTTTACTCTGAGAATGCAGCTGTTTGGTGTTTCATATTACTATGAGAACTTTGTCCTACTAGAATCCTCACCATTGTATTTCCTCCATTAGATTTCTATCCATCTTGCCTTGGCTGGTCATCAAAATGAAAATTCAAATGTGCTACAATTTGCAAATTCCCTCAAAGCAAAAGCAACTTCCCTCTTCATTTAGTTGTTGCTTTCCATTTTCTCATCTGCTTTGACTTGGTAATTTCCAATATCATGTACCTTTTATGAAAGTTATTTTTATATTTTATCTAGTGTTATTTTCAGTGTGATACTGTTTCTGATTTTCTTAAGGAATGAATTAAAATTGCTATGCTTAATTTTTTTATAAAAGCTTCTTTTAGTGATTAAAAATAAACATTTTTGTAAACCTGTGATAATTTAGAGATAATTTTCACTTGCAATAACTCATTTAAGGTTAGCAATAAGTCTGTAATATTTATATAATTATTTTTGCCTCATTTTACAGAGAAGAAAAATAGGGATTCTGGAGATTAACTGATTTCAGAGCTATTTAATAACCTGCTCATTGTCTCAGATGGGAACCTGGTTATACATCTCATGCTCTATTTTTGCCATTGCTTGAGAATAATTTTCAGAAAATGTTTAAATTTTTATTATGTAAAGATGACAAAATCCTTAGGAATAAGTGGTGAGCATGGGACCTATATAGGCAACAACTAATCAATAACAAGATTCGCGATGAAGACAATGTCAGGAGTAGTTCAGCAATTCACTAGGATATTTTCTTCTGCCTTGTAAGAATACTGCAGCATTATTGTCATTTTCTTATTGAGTCCATTTGTACACTCTCATATTGATTTTTTTTGCTTCTGGACTGTCCATCTCTGAGTCATGCCTTTAACACAGGACTGTTCTCACTCCTTGAAAAGAACTCTTGTGCCAGTAAGACTGTCTACCTCAGTTAAGTGGTACCAGCCATGTCTTCTCTGAGTAGCCAGATCTCGTTCCCTCATATGCTCTGGTTCTAATCCTCACATTTGAACATGGCTTTGAGTCACTTTGTATAGCCCATTCTGATACTTGAAAACATGATGATTTCATTCTCATTTAGCTTTGCTCTTCAACACTGTGGACTTTTTTTTTAAAAAAAAAAAAAGAACAATGATCATGGTCAATTAATCTGTCAAGTCCACACCACAGGAGCTGAACATTCCAAAGAGCAGTTGTCTTAGATTGGATTCCCTGGAAACAGTCTCTGAGACAGAGTTGCATGCAAAGGTTTTGGGGGAGTATGCTGAGATAAATCTCTAAGGAAGTATGGAGGACACAGGCAGAGAAAGGAGCGGGCCTACCATGGGGATGCAACTGAGGCCTCACCCCTTATTGGAAGCTCCAGCTGGGTTGGGCTTTCAGAGTTTTCCCAAATTGAGGTATAGGCCTTAGCCTTTGTATCTCCACAGGCATTGGCCACAGCTACCTCCAGGAGAGGCATAATTTTCAGTGAGGCTGTTCCTTGCAGCCAGCTGAGGGCAGTTTTCATCGAAGACATAGCTGTAATCCATCAGCTGTGATACTCTCAACAGCTGCAGATGAGTGTCTTGTCCTGGTGTTCCTGGTGCAAATCCAGAGAATCCTTTTTGGTGATCTAAAATCTAGGAGGGAACTAACATGAAATGGAAAGATATATGAGAATCATAAAGCTGTCTGCTGGGTACCACATAAGAAATCCCATATATAACTCAGAAACACATCATTATTATCAATTTTTTTTTTGTTCTCAGTGAGATGCTGACTATTCCTAAGGCTTCTCATCCTTGTCCATCATTTCCATCAAAATATGCATCTAATGGGGATATAGCTCTCTGTTCTGCACATTAAAATTATTTGAATTTTCATGTCTTGCTATGAAAATTTTGTGATTTTTGCTTTATTCTTTAAAAATATTTGTGATTATTTTAAAATAAAGGGAACACTTTAAATAATTTAACAGTTTAATTATTTATTTCTTCCTCAAATCTTCTAATAAATTTTCTGTGGCTTAGGCTGCATCTGGAAGTACACCCTTGACACAACATTGTAAACCTTCAGCGTATGACTATCCGCATTTGAGAGTAAAGCAATTAAAGTAAAAAGTAATATAATAGTGCCTAAAATTGGCACAACATATTGGAGTTTTCAAAGTGAGAAACAGCACAGCAGAGGGATTAAGAGGATGTATTTCAGATCCAGATGGACTGTATTAAAATCTCAGTTCAGCTACTTACTAGCTGGGAAAGGTTGTGCAAGTTACTTAACCTCTCTGTGCCTTTGTTTTTTCATTTAGAAAATGTGGATAGTAATAGCTGCAACTCACCTGGCTGTTCTGAAAATAAAATGGATTGATATTTATAAACATTATGAATAGTGCTCCCACAAAGTAAACACTATTTAAAGGTTTGCGTAGGACGCTATTTGCTTTATAAATAATACTATTTTAAACAGAATTACATGGTGTATAAAAGTAAACAGTATTTAAAGATTGGATAAATAAATAAATATTTTCCAGTCTAGTATCTCATTTGATCCTTATTTAAAACTGTGGGAAGGATAGAATATTTAATCATATTCATGGATGGTGAGAGTAGGAAGTAATAGGTTAAGTTCCTTGTACAAACTCAAGCAGCTATTCAGTGAAATATTTAAGTACAATTTATGTCTCTTAAAACTGAATTCCTCTCTGCCAGATGTTCCTAGAATTCCTGCTTTTGGAATAGCCACTGCAAACCTACTCTGATAAACCAGGTAGGAAGAAGAGCCTCTACTTTGTAAAATTATGGCAATAGGATTCATACAGTCATGTATTTGTTGAAGCAATAGGCCCCAAAAACATGATTAACAGAAGAAATGTTTTACTGCATTTAAGTTACTTCATGGGGATAGAAAGGTGAGAGACAGAAAAGAAGAAACCTTCTTTCTCTAGAAAAGACACATAGAAACAAAAATATTGAAATATTAACTCTACTATCTTCAATTTCCCTCTAAGGGAGAGTCTTAAATCAGTCTTTATTTAAGACTGCAGACCAAGCAGATAAGCCCTTTAAAAATAGGTCAATGCAATTTACTGTTTCACATTATAAAGTCAGATTAAAATATAGGTATAACTGTTAAAAGAGACTGATTTATTCCTCTCTAATACACACACTGAAAGAAAGTTGGATAATTTACTTTGTCCTCCTTTTTCTTGCCAGTTACATGGGCTGATATACTAATTGAGTTTAAGCAAAGTAATTAGTGAAAAGTTCCTTTAGACATGCAAATTTAATGGCCTATTTCTATAGCGCATGAAAGAAATCTCTTTATAGAATTATAATATTAGCACATTTGAAGTTATCTTAGAAAGCTTTGCAATCTGCCTTCCTCTTGAAACAAAAAAAAATGAAACAGGATATTTGGGCCAGCTGCTGCTAAAATAAACAATAATTTCCCCCCTTCTAAATATCATCACCAACATACTGCCTATTTGCATTCTCAACATAAATCTATACCAACCACATCTATTTGGTTTTATGCATTGATGCTTTTATTTAGTGACTGGGAACTAGAAACAGAGTTGGTCTTCATTGGGTTGGGCAGGAGCAAGGAATTAGAAAGAAAGGAAAAAAGGGGTAGAAGGGAAGGATGGAGCTGGTGTGGAGCCTGTTTCATATTGGCCTTTTGGCTTGGTTTTGAACTGACAGGGTAGGGTAGAGCCAGAGGGCTGATGGCATTGCTAAGTTGGGACTTTGGGAAATTCTGAGCATGGGAAAACCTGCATCAGGGCCCATGCAACAAAACAATGGCCTGGAGATGCGGAAGATGGTGTTGTTTCTGCATGAAACCGTGGGCCATGGAACTCAGCCTTGGGAACTTCCAGATGAACATTCATCGCTCGACATGGTGTTCCCATGGCTGCAGTGGCTGTTGTGAGGCTACTCTGGTTTGCTCAGGAGATGTATATTCAGGAAAACAAAATTACAAGAGTAAGAACAGGACAGAAACCTGGGGACATACGCTGCTGATAGGTTTAATTGAATACAAATGAGGCATACTTTTGGTTATTCCTGCATATAACTTGGAGAAATTTTGAGAGGGCTAAGGCCCTGCTATTTTAGAGGTGATGATACTTGAGGCAATAGCTACATGTCTTACAAGTATATATTTCAAGTTATCCAAAGCAGAGTGCTATCATTTGAATATGATAGTATTAAGAAGTAGAGTCTTTAAGAGGTGATTAGCATAATGGATCCCCCCTCATAGATGAGATTGAGGCCCTTATAATAAATGCTTTATGCAGTGTTCACCTAGTTTGTTTACTCTTCTGCCATGTGTGGACCCAGCAGAAAGTCCCTCACCAGATACTGATCCCTTGATCTTGGACTTCCCATCCTCCAGAACTGTGAGAAATAAATTTGTGTTTATTATAAGCTATCCAGTCTTAGGTATTCCGTTATGGTGAGCACAAAACAGACTAAGACACAGAGATTCCACAATTGCCATCAATTATTTTTCTTTCTTACAAGTATCAGGAACTTCTGTGTCATCTATCATGAAATAATAGACTTACAGGCTTATAATGAATTATTTTTGTATCTTTATATTCATATATGATATACATGAAATGAATGTTGTCACCTAGAGCTCATTTATTTTTACCCAGTGTGAGGATGTCTCTATAGTACATCTGACCATTTTTCATCAAATGCTTGAGGTTTTCCATCTAAATTCTTATTTATAATAAATAATTCCTATTTATAGTAAACCCGAAGCAGTCCCTTGGTAACTTTTACCCTTGGTTCCTACTTCTGTTCTTTGCAGCAATAGACTCACTCTTCTGTATCACATTCCTTTATGTATCTGAAGACAAACTTTATGCCCAGCCCTACACTGCACCAAGTTTTATTTTCTCATCTAACTATCCTTTGGTTCTTTAACCATTTTGTTTATATTCAGGGCCCCTATTTCACACTATCCTAGTTCACCTTCTCTTTACATTGATTATTTACTGTTTCAATATAGTGCTCACAAGGAGACCCAAGTTCACCTCATTTAGAGCAAATTATTTTATAATCTTAGCAGCTGCCTTCCATGAAGGAGAAGGAAGGGAGTTAAAAGCCTTCTGAAAGTTTTAAATATATCACAGATTCTATGGTATATGTACTGCCTGCCCCTATTTCACAGAAGAGAAAATTGAGGCTCATAAAAGTTATACAACCAAAGCACACAGCTAGCAAATGACAGAATCTGAATACATGTGTGTATATGTGTATATATGAATACAAATACAGGTTTCTCTGACTGTTAGAACTTACTTTTCCTAGTTCTTGATCCTTTAGTTTAGTTGATATTTTAGGAGAGGAAATAGCATCTAATATACATATTAAGTATTAAATACTCATATTCTTAAAACACTCATTTCAGTCTATAGGTGCCAATCTATAGATAGAAGTAGGAATGAGTAGATATGGTAGAATAAATGAACTCCAAAGGATAAGAAAACAAGAGCAACAAGTAGAAGATATGTTTTGGACCCAATTAATATAATAGTAGTGATGTCGGCATAGAGGAAGCACATGGTCAATTCACAAATCCTGATATTTCCCCAGAACCAATCTCCTCTACCTTGAAAATGTATAGTTCATTTATTGGATGGGAATGAAATATGAATATTTATTTCAATCCCTATTAGATTTTATACTTTTTATGTGTCTGTGCCCATTTTTCTGGCCTGTTGATTTTGCCATCCAGTGAATTTGTTACTTATGTCAGTATTATGTCATCTATGTATCTGGTAGGTAGGCATTCTGGGTCTTTATTCCATCCTCTGATATAAATCTTGTAAACAACATAATGTAGGGCAGAGAGGATTTACAGCTTTCTACACCGTGGCATATAAATAATTAAGATCAGAATTTAAATGATGCAAAGGACATGATCTTATTCTTTTTATGGCCATGTAGTATTCCATGGTGCATATATGCCAAACTTTCTTTATCCAGTCCACTGCTGATGGGCATCTAGGTGGACTCATGTCTTTGCTGTTGTGAATAGTGCTGAAATGAGCATATGCATGCATGTAGCTTTATGGTAGAATGATTTATATTCCTTTGGGTATATACCTAATAATGGGATTGGTGGGTTGAATGGTAGTTCTGCTTTAATTTCTCTAAGAAATCACCAAACTGCTTTCCACATTGACTGAAGTAATTTACATCCCCACCAGCAGTGTATAAATGTTCCCTTTCTCTGCAACCTTGCCAATATGCTATTTCTTTTTTTTACTTTTTACTAATAGTCATCTGACTTGTACAAAATGATATCTCATTGTGGTTTTGATTTGCATTTCTCTAATGGTTAGTGATGTTGATTTTTTCATATGCTTGTTGGTCACATTTATGTCGGCTTTTGAAAAGTGTTGGCTGGGCACAGTGGCTCATGCCTGTAATCCCAACACTTTGGGAGGCCAAGTCAGGTGGATCACTTGAGATCAGGAGTTTGAGACCAGCCTGGCCAACATGGTGAAACCCCATCTCTGCTAAAAATACAACAACAACAACAACAACAACAAATTAGCTGGGTGTGGTGACATGCACCTGTAGTTGGGTGTGGTGACATGCACATGTAGTTTCAGCTACTCAGGAGGCTGAGGCAGGAGAATTGCTTGAACCTGGGAGGTGAAGGTTGCAGTGAGCCAGGATGGCACCCCACACTCCAGACTGGGTGACAGAGTGAGACTGTCTCAAAAACAAAAACAAAAACAAAACAGTGTTTGTTTCCTTTGTCCACTTTTTCTTGTTTGTTTTTTGCTTGTTAACTTATTTATTTCTTATAGATTCTGGATATTAGAGCTTTGTCAGATGCCCAGTTTGCAAATATCTGTTTCCCATTCTGTAAGTTGTCTGCTTACTCTGTTGATAGTATCTTTTGCTGTGCAGAAGCTCTTTAGTTTAATTAGGTCCTATTTGTCAATTTTTGTTTTGATTTCAGTTGCTTTTAACATCTTTGTCATGAAATCATTGTTGGAGCTGATATTCAGAATGGTATTTCCTAGGTTTTCTTCAAGGGTTTTTTTTTTATAGTTTTAGGCTTTACATTTAAATCTTTAATCTATCTTGAGTTGATTATTGTATATGGTGTAAGGAAGGGGTCTGGAGATCATTATCTTAAGCAAACGAATGCAGAAACAGAAAACAAAATAATGCATGTTCTCACTTTAAAGTGGAAGCTAAACATTGAATACACTAGGACACAAAGAAGGGATCAATAGACACTGGGGTGTACTTGAGAGTGGAGGATGGGAGGATGAGGAGGATCAAAAAGCTACATATTGGGTACCACACTTATTACCTGGGTGATGAAATAATCTGTACAACCAACCCCCAACACATGTAATTTACCTATATAACAAACTTGCACATGTACCCCTGAAACTAAAATAAACATTTTTAAAAAAATTTAAAAAAGAATTCAAATGATGAAAAACTTTACATGAAAGCATGATCGCTGGAGAAAATTCTCTTGGGAATTACTAACATCAAAGTTCCTCTCTTATATCTCTGAAAAATGCAAATAATAAATGTATCTAATACATTTTCATATATGCCATAAATGATCGTATCTAACAACAATCTGATAAAGAACATAATAGTAATTTTATATTACAGATAAATTAACTAAATTTCAGACAATAAATAAAGCACTTAACATTACGAATCTAGTAGGTATCAGAGCCTGATATCAAGCCTTATCTCTGATTTGGAAGTCTATGATATTAAGTACTGGTCTCTCTAAACACCTGCCCAAGTCTTTTGTGTTTCTGAACTTTTGAACCTATTTGTTTTTCTTTTCAGCTTTTCATTTAATCTTGTACCTAATATGGGACGCTGGCAGTGGCAGAGAGCCAGACCGACCTTCTAAAACCAAGACTACAGACCACACACATAGCCTTGAAGATCCGTGAACTTCTTTATAAAGGTGCTTTATGTCTGCCTTAAAAACTCAATCATACTTATATTAATGTATGCATAATATTTCTCTATTTATAATTGCTTTAAGTTGAATTGAAGAATAGTTTGCCATAAGAAACATCACTAGATATTTTCTTAGGCAGTATGTAAAAATTCCTAAGGGTTTCATAAAGTAAAATGGATTTTCATTTTTGGGAGATAATTTAATTTTGTTTTTGTTTTATTTTGTTTTGTTTGTTTGTTTTAACTGAAGCATGAACAGCTTAGCAATTCTCCTAAGATTTCAAAAGTTAGAAGATAAATCCATACTATCACAGTTTTTCATTCTAGTAAAATTTCAAAACATTTTCTATTATTATTATTTTTGTATTTATTTATTTTTTTGGGATGGAGTTTCGCTCTGTTGCCCAGGCTGGAGTGCAGTGGCGCCATCTGGGCTCACTGCAAGCTCTGCCTCCCGGGTTCATGCCATTCTTCTGCCTCAGCCTCCTGAGTAGCTGGGACTATAGGCACCCACCACCACGCCCAGCTAATTTTTTGTATTTTGCGGAGAGATGGGGTTTCACCGTGTTAGCCGGGATGATCTCGATCTCCTGACCTTGTGATCTGCCCGCCTTGGCCTCCCAAAGTGCTGGGATTACAGGCGTGAGCCACCACGCCTGGCCAACGTTTTTTCTTCCTGAATGCTTACTCTGTTGCCAAGTGTTGGGTGAGCTACTTCAAAAGTGGTGATATGTTTATTAGCTCTTGAAGTAAATAATAGATGTTGTGGCGCATAAAAAAGAATGGTAAGACATGGGCCCATGCTTAGGTAGGGGAGGTAGACACAATCAACACCATGTAATAACAGACAGAATTACATATGTAAACAACAGAACAGCCTAAATACAAGCTAAGTAGATGTTCAACAGAATATTATGACAAAACCTGCATTTCAAAATGTAATTTTTTTGACATTATTGCTGTTTGAATCATTATACTCTGTTAAGATGGCTATTATCAACAGCTCAATCTTGAAATAATTTCCTAATTAATTACTAAAACATGAAGTTCATTTTATATTGATGATTTTAATTAGTTATTGGATGTAAGCAACATATCCCAAAGAAGACATTGGCTTTCACAGAAGTGGACCAGGACACCATGGCATGCCCTAAGGATTCATCAATTTGTTTTTCATAGGTTCCCCCAGAAATGAAAAAAAAAAAAGAAAGAAAAAAAAGAAAATCTTTGTACTTAAAGAAATACTAAACAGCAAACTTGAACTAGAGTTTGAAGGAGATAAGGTGAACTAAATTTGGGTCCTATCTACCATTTATAAATCTAATCATTTTTATATTCGCTCATTAAATTGAAAATAGAAGAGCCACTAATATTCTAGACCTTCATAAAATGTATGTTAATTTCACAACATAGTTTACTGAGTGAAGCTTGAGACTCACTCAAAATTTCCACATATCAACAGTCACAATTGACAAATGCTATGTAATTGGCATTCAGAGTAAGATTCCTGAGGAACTCTCCTAAGTTTTGAATGTCCCCATTATTTTTGCTTATTGATCTGTCCAATATTCATCACACACAAGTATACATTGGTTTCCACATGTGCATATGACATGCATTCTCAGACACACGTTACTATATTATGGGATAAAGCTAGTAAGTCTAAGGGAAAGGTATTTTAGGACTAAAATTCATAATTCAGAGTCTTTGAAGAATATATAAATGTCTATTAAATATTAAGTGACACAGCAAGTGCTTCACCACAGTTCTCATTCTCTGTAGAGGAGTGAGACACTGAACATTTATAAGTAGATAGATTTTTCATAAGCAGTCACAGGGTTTATCTGTTATGTGAATAAACTGAGCCTAGAGAATTGGTATGACTTTCCCAATATCATGCACCTATTTTATAGCGGAACAGAATTTGGACCTCAGCTTCTCTTTCAATATAACACAACAACTACTGTTCATCAGGGTTCTTGTATTCATTAGGATACTTTACCTATAGTGTTGCTAATTATAACTGCAATCCATTAATGTATGTATGTATGCATTATTATGATTACTACTACTACTATTACCAGCTTACGGATGAAGACATTGAGGCCTAGAGAGCTTAGGTAACTCTGGAACACTTTCTCTACATTCATTATATAGCTGATGAATGTAGAGAAAGTGTTTCAAACCCGACTAAGTCCTCATGCCTTTACTATTGGCAAGGAGAGAGAGGGAGCAGCATGACAATCATCATCATTTCCCAGTGCTGCGTCTGGGAAATACTATTGCCTTTTAACATTTGAGCATCTAAGAGATTTTCCTCATTTTTCTGCTGCCTTCTTCACCATCCCCCATCTCACTACAAGGAAATCTACCTCAAATGACAACAAAGAAATATATTTATTTCTTGCTTAGTTTGCTCTATGTTATTAAAACGCTATTTCTCCAGTAATATCTCAAATTCTAAAATGATCAATAAGTCAGTGTTCTAAATCTTCTGAAGTCCATTTTCTACAATTTATTCCCACCATATAGCCTTTGTAGAAGTTGGACCATAACACTGTACCAAATTAATTATTTAGACACAGATCTTCTCATGGGTACATGATCTTTGGTATCCTTACTGTTCTCCTTCATCTTGGTTATCGGAGATAACTAATTTATTGTAGTAGCAAATATTTGTTGAACTCTCACTGTGGCTGGCACTGTTCTAGAGATTTTGCATGGCTTAGCTTCTGAAAATCTCACAATTACCTTTTGAGATGGATGTTGTTATTATCCATGTATTACTGGTAATTGAACTGAGCCGATCCTCACTTTTTGAAATGTTAAGTAATTTTGTAATGACCGCAGTCTCACCTACAAATCAATATATAAAATATTGAGGCTTGTAATTCTCCCTAATGTGGCTCTCAATGGTTACTAATTTATCTACAGCAAATACTTTGGCCACTTTTCATTGTATGTATGAAAGTGAATATACTAGTGTCCAAAGAAATGAAACTGATTTTAACAGTAAAATTGTATTAGATTTTTAAATGTTGGCTGCTTTATAAAATGAAGGACAAGTACATTTATTTTAAAAGCCCTTTTTTTACACTATTCATGTATACCTTTATAAAAATGCAATGAAATTTGTCTGATATATGTTCTTTAACATCTTGTTTTATTTTTTCTTTTTGTTTTAATTTCTTCTTTTTCATGTCTTTTGTTTTTCAAAATGTTCTTCCAAATCCCCACATGATGTAAAGTAATAATTGCTAAAAACAATAAAATATCAGTGTAGATTTTACATTTTGTTTGTTCATTTAAGAAATTTTTACTGATTATCTAAATTGCTCATGCCATCATGTCAGCCACTGAAAATGCATCAATGAAAAACAAACTGCAGACCTCAAGCGCATGGAAAGTTTGGGTTGCTTTACTCTTTTTCAGTATTGTATGCTCTATTTTCTTATTCATCAGGTAATTTGTATTTACTAAAGCTTATTTTATCTCTCTATTTTTGGGCTGTGAGGACAATGCAAATTTCAGTGCATCACAGTGCTTTGGAGGTGGGGAAAACTAACATTTACTCAGGGTCTCAGACATGCCAACTATTTTGTAGAGAGTATCTCATGTATCGTAATATATATTAAAGAATGGACCTTGGAGATACTCATATTATAATCAACCCAGAAAGGCTAACTGATTCATCAAAGTTTGCACAGTTATTTAGTGTTATTCTATCTCCAGGTTCGAATTTCACTGTTTAATTCAAATTCATTGTAGCTTCTTCCCTCAAGGGGCTTTCAATGCACTTGGCAGATAGAATTTACCTATCATGGAGAAATGTACCTATATAGGGCCAGAATGGAGGACACAGATTCAGGTTGACAACCTTGGTTGAAATATCAGCTCTGCCTATTGCTCCCTTTGTCTCAGTTTTTCTCTCTCTGAAATGGGATGCTAATAAAGGTTCCTGACTTGAAGGATTATTGTGGGTTATATGAGTTAGTAGATTAACATGTTGTAATTGTTATGTAAGTATTTGCTTTAAAAATGTGATCTTAAAATATACAAAGACACATGGAATAGGACAATGAAAGTATAATGATCTTGATTTCCCACAATATAGTCATACCTTAGGCACTGGATGGAGGTCAATTCTTCCAGCTGGAAGATGAAGCCACGGGTATGGCACTAAGGCTGTTGTAAAGCCAAGAATTGCACCATGAATATAGAAACTTCTTATCTCCAAAATGAACGTGGTTGAAAAGAGAATAAATTGTCTTAGAATTTACTAGACTGAGTAGAGGACGGAAAACAACAAATAACTTAGTAAAAAAGGAGTTTCTTATTGCTTGATATTATGCAAAGATAAAACAGCCCCTTTCTTTAAAGAGCTTACTCTTTAGCAGGAAAAATAGATAAGTAAATAATGAAAGTGTGACAAGTACAGGACAGGTATGCCCAGTGGGTGAAGAAAAGCCCCTAACTTGGGCTTGCTGCCCTATTTTACAGTTAAAGGGATGGGCTAGTGCTTCCTCCAACCAGGAATGTTGAGGTGAGAGAATAGCACTGCAGGGGAATGATGCTTCTGCAGAGGACCACAGACCACATACATGTCTCTAAATCCTGGTTCTGTTTATTTTATATATTTTATACTTGTATCTGCATATTTCAATACAATTATTTTCCCTCTCTGCGTTCCCACTTGGCAGAGTAACTGTAGCATTGTAAGCAAAGTGATTGATCTGATTAAAAAAAATCTTAGGAAGACAGAACAACAGGAGTTTCTAACTTGTCTCTAAATTACATCTTTTGGCAATTATCCATTCCAAAGACATCCTTAATCATTTTAGGTTGAATTTCTTATTCTTATTTCAGTTACTTTTTTTGGCATTACAGATTACAAATCACTGATGCTTTGGCAATGGGCATATCCAATCAATTATGTTTAATAAGTTGAGAATAGAAGTTTTGTCTAAAATTAAAGTAGTCAAATGGTCAGACAGCTTCATTGAGAACTATAGCTATACATTTTCATTCTCTCCCAGACATACGACATTCTGTGTTGCTTTTATACAAAGTATTTGTGTATGTATATACATTTTTAAGGGCAACTACCACAATTACTAGTTAAATGTTAAACTGAATGCTGATAGTTTTATTTCTCTGTGTTGAATGTTTGGTTTTGTAGAACTGTTTCACCTGCCCATTAAAAGGAACAACCAAAACTTCTCGTTTGCATTCAGATGTTGTTTAATATTTTTTCTTTTTAGTTAAATGTGCAAATTGGTTGTCATCATTGGCAAATTGACGATACAACAATTAGGTAGAAATTGCCTCTTCATCCAGTTTTTCTAAAGCATGAATATCTCTGCAATCTTCCAAATACTTTTCCCTTTTTTTGCATTTCAGGTCTTGTGTGATTTTTTAGCAAGTAGCTTTTTTTTTTAATTGCTGCTTTTTTTTTTATTTTTAATTCTCTGACACTTGTATCAAGCTGTGCTTTAGAATTGAATTTAGTTCTCTGCCCAAGGTATTTGTATGTGTGCGTGTGTGTGGAACATAAATGCTTTGTAAAATACAGAAGAAAAGATCTCCTAAGGAAATTAACTATTACTTTAGACTAACATAAGAAACAAGAGACCAAAAACACTGTTTTAGTGGAAAAAATATTTATTTGGTGCCTTTTGGAATATACCCACAATCTTTTAGCTAAGGCTAGAAGTCTGTGGCTGAATATCCCCTATGACCTTTTAAACTTTCCTACTCCAGCTCTTGTTTTATTAGGCCCATATATTTTTAATGTCCCCCAAGGTTCCTAGCACTCTGCACTTCTCTATTTATATCCCTCACTCCCACAGCTTTCCTTTCACCTCTAAATATGGGTGATCTCTAGGCCTGACCTGAATTCTAGCTTTACATATCCAACCAAACATTGCTAGAATTCATCTTTATTGGGAATCTTAAAGTAAAAAACGTCTGAAACTTGACGGTTGATTTTTTTTTATGATTGTATACATTGAGAGAGAATGAGATAAATCTCTAGGATGCCTGCTCAAATAAACAAGTATTCCCGTTTCAGTCACTCCATTGCAGGAAGCCAGTTCACTGCAAATGTTAAGCTGATTATTATAAATTCAGTTCTAAAGAAGTAAATTCAGTAAATTCTCACTTAACATTATCCATAGGTTTTTCGCTATTTTTTGCCGTGCTGTTTTATTAAACTATTTTAAGCAAAATAACATGTGAAAAACCATTTTTTTCTCATCAACCTTAGAACAAAACAACATTGAAGGAAACAATGTTATTCAATGACCTGCTGTGTGTCCTTTTGCTTAAAGCTGCAGTTTCCAGGAACCTACTGATGATGTTAAGTAATGACATTCTGTGTATCAATAAATATATCATCATGTTCCCATGCTTTTAATTGTTTTTATTGTGATCAAAAATGCACAACATAAAATTTATTGTCTTAACCATTTTTAAGTGTAGAGTACAGTAGTGTTAGTTATATGCACATTTTTATGTAACAGATATCTGGAATTTGTTTCATCTTGCAAAAATATAACTCTGTATTCACTGAACCATATCTCCCTTTTCCCCTGATCTTTGGCCCCTGTCATCCTCCATTCTACTTTGTTTCTAGGAGTTTGACTATTTTAGATATCTTTATTGATATCTAAATAATCATGAAGTCATGAAGTATTTGGTTTTTTTGTGACAATTTTATTTCCTCCACCTTGTAACACACTGCAGGATTTTCTTCTCTGTTAAGGTTGCATAATATTCCATTATATATATATATATATATATATATATATATATATATATATATGTATATATTTCCATATATAGATCCATTCAAATTGGTAAAAAAAAAAGAAGCTATGGAATTTATATACAGAAACTATAGACAAATCTCATAACAGATTAGGGAATAGTTCTAATTGATATATATATATATATATATATAATATATATATGACATTTTCTTCATTCATCTGTTCATGAAAATTTAGGTTATTTTCACTTCTTGGCTATTGTAACCAATGTTGCAGTGACCATGAGTGTGCAAGTACCTTTTTGAGAGAAAGTGTTCAATTCATTTGGCTATATACCTAGAAGTGGGATTACTGGATCATATGGTAATTCTATTTATAATTACTTTAGGAGCCTCCATATTATTTTCCACAGTAGCTGCTTAATTTTACATTCTAATCAACAGTGTTCAATGAATCCAATTTCTCCATATCCTTGCCAACAATTGTTATTTTCTGTATTTTTGAAAGTGACCATCCTAATGAGTGTGAAGTGATATCTCACTGTGGTTTTGATTTGCATTTACCTGATGATTAGGGATATTTAGCATCCTCTCCTTAGCTTACTGTTCATTTATATGTTTTCTCTGAAAAAATATCTATTCAAGTTCTTTGTCCACTTTTTAGATGGGATTGCTTTTGGTTGTTGCTATTTGAGTTGTAGGAGTTCTTTATTCTGAATATTAACTATTAGACATATGGTTTGCAATATTTTCTTCCATTCTTTAGGTTGCTTTCACTCCATAATTTCTTTTGTGGGACTGCAATTTTTAAGTTTGACGTAGTCTGATTTGTCTGTTTTTGCTTCTGTTTCCTATGCTTTTAGTGTCATATCCAATAAATCATTGCCAAATCCAATATCATGAAGCTTTCTCCCTATGCTTTCTTCTAGTAGTTTTATAGTTTTCTATGTTTAGGCATTTAATTCATTTTTAAGTTTTATTTTATTCTTAGTTGACAAATGGTAATTATACATATTTGGGGGTATGGTGTGTAACTATAGTTAATTCATTTTGAGTTAATTTTTGCATAGGGTATAAGTTAAGGGTCCAACTACATTCTTTTGAATGTGGATATGCTGTTATTCTAACATCTTTTGTTGAAGAAATTATTGTTTTCCCATTGTGTATCCTTGGCACCTTTGTATTATCTTAAGTCCATTTGTGCTGTTATAACAAATGATCTGAGACTGGGTAACTTATTAAAAAGTGAAGAAATTTATTTCCTCACTGTTCTGGAAGCTGAGAAGTCCAAAATCAAGATGTTGGCAAGTTCAGTGTCTTGTGAGGGCCTCTTCTTCATAGATGGCATGTAGGTATCCTCACATAGCAAAATGAAGATGAACACTGTGTCCTCACATGACAGAAGAACAAAACTGAGCAACCCATTCCCTCAAGCCCTTTCATAGGGGACCTGATCTCAACTATGAGGCTGTGCTCTCAAGACTTCATCATCTCCTAAACCTCAGTTAACCTTAATTACCTCCCAAAGGCCCTATCTCCAAATGCATCCACAGCAGAAGTTAAAACATCAACATATGCATTTTGTGGGGACACAATTCAGACCATAGCAGATATGTATAGAAAGAAGAGAAGTATTTCCTTTTTTAGTGCAAAATGGTTTTGGAACACCTTTTCACCAAAAATAAGATACAGACAACAAATATCTAAATGTTTCTTAATTCCAAATAAATTTTTCTAAATCTTCCTTTTCTGCCAATGTCTCTTATTTAGAATCAGTTGTTGGAAAGAGCAGAGAACCATTCAAATTGGTAAAAAAAAAAAAAAAATAAAAGAAACAATCTATGGAATTTATATACAGAAACTACAGACAGATCTCATAACAGATTAGGGAATAGTTCTAATCTGAGGGCTCAGAACAGACTTCCCTGAAGAAGGTCTATTTGGGTTGCAATCTGAAGGATGAATTGGAGGTGACTAGGCAGAGTGTTTGTAAGAAAGCTTTACAGACTGATGGAAGACAGGGCATGTGTGTGAGGAAACATGGCATTACAGGACCTGGAAGAAGAAGATGATGCCTAGAAGGAGTGAGGAAAAAACAAGGCTTTCCAGTCATTGCAAGAACTTTGCCCATCACATTAAGAACAGTGAAAGGCCTTTGTAAGAATTTGCGGGTTGGGAATAATAAGATCTTCTTTTTCAAAAGATCTTTCTGCCCCTTCTGTGGAGAATGGATTGTTGGAGCCTACGTAAAGAGGAGAGAGTGGTGAGCAGGCTGTTGTGGAAGCCTGACAGGAAGTGAGATTACCTTGGACAGGGATGGTAGAAGTGCTGTGGGTGGAAAGGAGAGGACAGCTTAGAAAGATTTCAGACATAAAAACAAGCAAGGAAAGATTTGTTTCTGTAGGGGATAAAACAACCTATTTCAAGGATGACTGCTATATTTCTGTCTTGCAAACAAGATGAATAGTTCTCTCATTTACTGAGCTAGGGCAACCTGGGTAAGAAGTTGTTTTGCAGAAAAGATGATGAATTTACTTTGGATCTACTGGTTTTGAATTTCCTTTAGGGCATACCATGTGGACAGTGAGTAGGTGATTAGATGCAGGGATCTGGACTCAGGAGAAAGGTCTGGACGACAATAAAGATTTGGAAATTCAAGGACCTTTGGGTGAGAAGTTAACAGAGAGAATACTAAGGTAAAGAATAAAGTCTGAGAAAGAGCTTTGGAAAGTCTAAACATACAATACACATAAAGGAGACTAAGAAAACCACAGGGGCATGGAATTGACGCTTATTCTTTCGATAAACTTGAGTTTTTTGTTGTCTTTCTTTTTTGTTCTTATTTTTATTGGCTGAATCAGTGACTGCTAAAAATCCTTCTCCAGCATCCTTTAATTGTTCTATCTTCCATTCTTTAGAGACCTAAAAGTCCAAAGCCTTCATGCTTTCTGCATGGTAAGAGGGTTAGGTGGTCTCCTACGCTGTGTTATTTCAGGGATTACAGGAATGTCTCTGTTCACAAAGTTTGCTGGTGAACAAGACTCCAAAGTATTGGCTTGTCTCTTGGCTGAGGACATTTTCATTCTCTGTTAATATAAAAAATTCATTGGCATTGTAACTTTTTTATGAGTCACCATTTATGTAGGTATATTCCAACTAAGATGGAAATAAATGTATGTCTTTCTTTTGGAAAGAGGTGAAAGAATAATCTTAGAATCAGTAAAATGTTATCAACTGTCACCTTGCCCACTAATATTCTTATGCAAATATCCATTAAAAACTAAATGATAAATTATCTCTGGAAATCTATACAGAATACTGAGTACCATCATTCACTTTTTCTCTTCACTATCACCTTTAAACTTCTGTATCAGTTTTTATTTTTCTAAAATAGTACTCAACACAGTTGTGGTATATCATTAGTACAAACTTATAAGGCTGTGGTCCAACATAATTAAAATAATTTCAAGTAAATACAAACTAAGCTTCCCTCAAGCTCTCGGTTCCACCCTGCCAAATCTCATCTTGATCCTCTTTGTGTGTCCTAGCCTCACTTATGGATTTTTAAGACAAATGGTTATGTAATTGTCCTTCCTGAAACTTTTATACTCCTTCTTGAGACGTTTTCAGCAGTTTGAGTAAATGCTTTGTGTTGCTATTTAGCCTTTTTCCATCTGGATGCAAAACTCCAGATATACTATGATAGACAGATGAGAAAATTCAAGGCCAGAGAGGAGTGAGGGAAGTTAAAAAGAAGTGAACTTTCCTTCAGTGTTGTGGGATGGATCAAATGGCTGCCTATGACTCAGACTTTTTATATTTTTATTTCAGGCAGGAGTTAAGATTCACTAATGATTTTTGTCTAGTAACACATTTAGTAAACCCACAACTCCAGCTGACTCTCTTTCACAGAGTGGATATTAAAATTGCTGATAGACTCTTTTAAAAAGCACATAAAGAGAGGCAAGTGTTCAGAAGGCACGTGCTGAAAATTCATGTTAATCTAAATGGATGTGTGAGAGAACAGATGAAAAATGATATGTTTTACAAACATGACAACGTAGACATCTGAGTGTCACTTTTCCTTTACCTTCTGCATTTGCTTTGATTCTTTTTGATAATCTAATATATGTGTTAATTACATTGGCAACATGGCTTTTATTACAATATAGTATTCTTTAGCAAGAGGGTATTGGTTGTTACTGCTAGGGATTATTGAGTTTGAAGAGAGGATGAAGGGGAAAATCTGGAAAGTAGGACAGGAAGTAATCTTTTTATTTTAATTTTAGAGACAGGATCTCACTCCATCTCCCAGGCTGGAATGCAGTGGCATGATCACAGCTCACTGTAGCCTCAAGCTTCTGGTCTCAAGCAAACCTCTCACTTCAGCTCCCCAAGTGGCTGGGACTATAGGCAGTGCCACCATGCCTAGCTAATTTTTTTATTTTGTTGAGATAGGTTCTTACTGTGGTGCCCAGGCTGATCTCCAAACCCTGCCCTCAAGAGATCCTCCAGCCTTGGCCTCCCAAAGTGCTGGGATATAGGTGTGAGCCACTTTGCCTGGCCAGGAAGCAAATTTTTAAGGTCTAGTAAAGGAGACTATCACTTGTAATGGATTTGTTCAAGGGACTTCTCTTAAATAATATTCCGATGCCTAGAATACAAATGGTAGGGCTACTCCTGAACAATGTCGGAAATAGTATCAAGCTGAAAGATGGAGTGCTACAATTTCCATGTAGTTGCTTTATCTTTTATCTTCTCCTCTTTTATCTTTTATCTTCTACTATGCAATACCCCTGTTAGTCATCTGTGTTAGTAATCTCTTGCTGTGTAATCAATTCCCCTCCCCCAAATTGTGGCTTACTAGTAAACATTTATTATCTCACACAGGTTTGTGAGTCAAAAATCATAAAGCTGGGTGGTTCTAGCCTAATGTCTCTCATAGGCTCGCAGAAAATCTGTCAGGGTTACACTCAACAGAAGGCTGGACTGAGAAAAAGGATCTGCTTTCAAAGTGGCTTACTGGCCCACTGCTGCTGGCCTTTGGCTGGAGGCCTTTGTTTTTTGCCACATGGACCTCTCCATAGGGCTGTTTGAGTGTCTTCACGATATAACAGATGACTTCCAGAAGAAAGTTCAGTCCAGGAGAAAGCAAGAAGGAAGTTGTCATGTCCCTTATGACCTAGCTTTGAAAGCCATACTCCTTCATTTCTGATAAATCCTATTAATTACTCGGGTAAGCCCTATGTGGAAGGGGATTATGCAAGGGCATAAATACCAGTGGGCATGAATCACTGCAGGGCCGTGATGGAGGCAGGCTACCACCACATCTCTTGCAAAATAAATCTTAGAAGTCCACAGAACACACCTAAAAAATCACTGCTGTTGGTCAGTTATTTTTAAATTGTATGATCCTTTACTGAGAATGAAGAAGGAACAATACTTTTTTTTTCTCTTTGGACTCTGTTACATTTTGGCTAAAAACCAAACATTAGAATAATTACAGAGGCAAAACATACTTTTTTCCCTTTTGCGGTAATTTCTTCCATCATCTGCAATTGTTTCTACTTTTTTTTGGTGCTCAAATTTTTCTCTGGCTTTGTGGTGGTATATCCCCTAATATTTGTCTTACTAAAATGTATATTTTCTTAATCATGCTTCCGTTTAATACCCCTTCCTTAAATTCTCATGTCAGGTGATCTCAGTTTGCTAAAATGAAAAAAGTTATTTGGTCAAACAAATTTATTCAAAAAGTTATAAATTATGTATTCATTACTTTTTTGGTGTTTTTATATGATTAGAAGATGTTCACTGTCTCAATGTACTGAATCTTGTGATATGGAATTTTATGCAGAATTAGAGTCAACTGAGGACCTTTTAGATATTAACAACCATACCACAGACTTGTGTTTTGGAGTAGTTGGTAGCATTCCAATGCTTTCTTTGAAAAAACAAAAAAACCAACAAACAAAACTAAACCAAGAAACCAAAATAAATTGCAAACATTGTGATTTTAAAAGTATCAGGAGTGGCAAAAGCAAGGAGGACTAGAGATACTGAAATTCCAGAGAGGGGAGACCTTTTCAGAGTTTGTACCTGCTTTTATTTTGGAGGCCTTTGATAGTTTTTGTTATGGAACAACGTTTGGGAATCTATGCTTTTGGGAGCAGAGGATATTTGATGGGGAATAGAGAAAAAAAGAACCCAGAAGCAGTCACATCAAACTGAAGTAAAACAAACAAACAGACAAACAAAAACCCAAAATCTGGAGATTCAAGGAACTTCAACTCTTGGCTGGTTTCTTTCTCAGTATGTTTGTGGAATTCCCAAGCTTTATCACATGGGTTGCCAAATAGTTAAGATAGTTTTTTAAAACCAGTAGAAATTCCTGCAGTCTCAAAGCGCTTTACAGAAAAAAACCTTCCAGAGGCAGGGCCCTAAGAAAATAAAAGGCAAGAATTAAAAGCTCTTAAAGGAGTGATGAATTGAGACTGATTAGTTGCAACTTTTCCTGAGGGCATGTACCCATCTGGATGCATCTGAAAGTTCCCTGAGTGTAGTAAAAAACATATAAACGTCTAAACACCCAGTAAACTTAACAAACCACAAACTGGATAATGTCTATGAAAAATAGTACCTAGGCACACCATGATAAAAGTGCTTAAAACCAAAGACAATGAGAAAATCAGAAATGCATCTGGGGGCAAGGGAAGGCACTCCACATAAATATTTGCCCAAAATCTTTACCTATACCCCAGGTCTGCTTTACTTCAACTTTTTTTAAAATCTAAAACAGGAAGTACATGTACAAGTTCGTAACGTGCATATTGCATAACACTGAGGTTTGGGGTACAAATGATGCCATCACTCAGGTAGTGAGCATATTACCCAATGGGTAGTTTTTCAAACCATGGCCTCACTCTTTCTCCCCTCTCTAGTAGTCCACAATGTCTATTCTTCCCATCTTTATGTCCATGAGTACCCAATGTTTAGCTCCCACTTATGAGACATGCAGTATTTGGTTTTCTGTCTCTGCATTAATTAGCTTAGGTTTATGGCCTCTGACTGTATCCGTGTTGCTGCAAAGGATATTATTTTGTTCTTTTTCGTGGCTGCATAGTCCATGGTGTACGTACACCACATTTTCTTTATCCAATCCACCATCGATGGGCACCTAGTAATTTCTCTTTTAGCATGCCCCCCTAAGGCACTAGTACTGTTTTAAAGAAAATTTCCAGCAGTTTTGGAGATAAAGTGCATGTCATCTTTGAAGTTAGGAAGGGTCAATAACTTCAAATAAGGAACTCTAAAGAAAGATAAAGGGAAAATAGAGCAAGGGAAGAGAATGCTATACAAAATAGGATCCTCCTCCAGTTAGAGCTACTTTAAATAACATGGTTAGCTGTATCAGACATAGATTTGTCATTCACAGCACCAACAAGACTGGCATTCACTCTACAGAGTACAGTAGATGCAAGAAATGGCAGTGGCCTTATGAAAATTAATCTGTGCTAAAGGAATATGATCCCCAAAATTTGTTTTTATTTAATATGAATGCTGTTGGTGTGTATATATGCAAGTTTATTGCAGTGAGAAAGACAACAATATATAGATATTGGCTTTACATTCATGTACTTTCTTTCAAAAATGTAATCAAGATGCAGACTTACTTGAGGGTTTGTTTGTGTAACGATAGATCAAGATTTTGCATTCTATTTTATGAACATTAGTAACACAAATAGGATTCTGGGAATAAGAACAATGTTCATTTTGAAATTTGAGATTGTGATGCTTAGAATAAAGAATGAGATGATGAGTGAATCTCCATGTCCTTACACCACCTCTGAGTACCTTGTAGAATTCACTGTGCAAGTGCTCCTGTCAGCCCAAAGATCAGTAAAGTCACCATGACCCATTTTACTCTGTGCTGTGTCCAGCAGCTGGTATCTGTTTTAACGGTTGGTATTTGGATTACGGTATTTCTAAGAGCCCAGGGACAATCTTACATTGAAACAGTTCTGTAACAATTACTAGAAACCTAACTACTGCATAAGTATTTGCCTAAATGTTTACGGATTTGAGCAACAAAACTGGGAGCTCCTTACACCAATCCTTAAAGTTAAGTCTTTATAAAAATTGAGTATACGTTTCCATAAAGTTTTCAATTTGGGGGCTCAAATAATCAGCCTTGGTTATCACCTGGACATAAGATCTCAAGTAGAAGGCAGACCATGGAAGTGATACCAACCTGAAGTGAAGTATCCCTTTCCATACCCAATTCTATTGAAATTCTATTCTACTTTTTCCCCATACATGTCAGAGTTGGCTCTTAAACTCCTCAATACAAGGTCTAAAGCAGACAAAATATCCATCCAGGTCTTTAACAGTTATGAGGAAGACAACTGCAGAAAACCAAAGGTGTTCTTTATAGTTACCCCCAACTCAAGTAGGGATGATGAAAAAATCAGGTTAATTAAGTAATTAATAGAGTACAAACAGGTGGGTAGAATGTGTTAACTGGAAGCCAACCATTAGTGGTTATAAAATTGAAGAACTAGTCATAATAAAATCTAATTTTACTTAATTAGGCTTTCTCATAATTCTAGAATGCTAAAGAAACACCTTTGTCTTCTTATTTGAAATAAATAGGAGTTTATACCATTTCAAGTAATAATAGAAACATATTTATTAAAAGAAAAGGTGTTTGTCTTTTAAAGTGATCCCCCCAAAAATATATAAGCTTGTATTAGTCTCCTTAGGTTGCCATAAGAGAATACTGCAGACTGGGTAGCTTAAACAACAGAAATTTATTTTCTCACAATTCTGGAAGATGAAATTCCAAGAAACAGATGCCACTAGAATTGATTTCTGGTGTAGCCTTACTTCCTGGCTTGCAGATAGCTACATTCCCACAGTGTTCTCACATGACCTTTCCTGTGTGAGTACAAAGCTTCTCTTCCTTTTCTTATAAGGACACAGTCCTAATGGCTTTGGGCCCTACCCTTATGATGTCTTTAACCTTAGTTACCTCCTTAAAGGCTGTATCTCCAAATACAATCACATTAGGGAGTAGGATTTCAGCCTATATATTTTGGGGGAACAAACTCAGTCCATAATAGGGGGATACAAAGTATAATACAATTAATGTAAAAATTAAAAAGCAAAAAAATTAAAAATATCTTAAAGGATATTATTGACCTGAAATGATGTTACTTTATATCAGTTATCTCTAAGTAGTAGGTAAATAATTATATGATTTTTATAGCAATGTTATTCCTGTTTCATTTCCCTAATTTCTCTTCAGTAAGCATACATTAGTGGTGCAGCTTTAAAGTACTATTTGTTTAGTATTGTATGATACACAGTGCTTCATGATATTTTAACTCACTGCATTCCAGAGACAGGTATTGCAACATGACAATCCAAGAGCATATTTTTAGGAGTAAAATTTAGAACAGTTATAAATTATTTTTCAACATATTATGAAGTAAGTTTACCTTCCATGTTGTTGTAATAACATCTTGCAGTGTCGAATGTTTAGGCAGGGAGAAAGAAATCTGGCAGGCAGAAATATATTCAAAGACATCGTTGATTTTCTGTCTATCCTGGCAAACTCCTTCTGGTTTCCTGCTTCCCATGAAGCCTTTCTTAAACATGTAACCCAAAATTTTGTGGAGAGGAATATATTTTTTTCCCTTGAGGGAGAAGGCCAGGAATTGGGTAGAAGAGTGGCAGGAAGCCCCTGAGTTGAGTTGCACCATATCAGCATGAGTCATTTTAGTCATCTATAGTCAGTGATCAAGAATCCATGAGCCTTTCAATACTGATTGTTGAAAAGAAATATCAGTGATAAAATAGGATATGTTACAACATGACAGGATACAAAGAGCCACAGGATACACATGACATGTTCTCAGAGTGGGTCTACTTTAATAAAAGATTTGGGGAAAATGTACTGTAAACCAAAGAAAGCATGGGTATATTCTGAATTAGAATGGCAACTGTGTAAGAATTTTTAAATAAAACTTCGAAGAAATTTTGCTTTGTAAATATTTTGGACTACATACTAGACACTTAATACATTGTTAAATTTCTTTCATGATGCTGTGATGAAAATATTTGAGAAGAATTTTTTTTTTTTGAGATGGAGAGTCTCGCCCTGTTGCCCAGGCTGGAGTGCAGTGGCAAGATCTCTACTCACTGCAAGCTCTGCCTTTCAGGTTCACACCATTCTCCTGCCTCAGTCTCCCGGGTAGCTGGGACTACAGGTGCCCGCCACCACGCCTGGCTAATTTTTTGTATTTTTAGTAGAGACGAGGTTTCACCGTGTTAGCCAGGATGGTCTCGATCTCCTGACCTCATGATCTGCCCACCTCGGCCTCCCAAAGTGCTGGGATTACAGGCGTGAGCCACCATGCCCGGCCAAGAAGAATGTTTTTAACCTATTCCATGTATTCTCAGTGGAGCCCTGCATTTCCCAAGAAGGCAAAACCTGATTCTTGAGGAGCAGAAAAATCTTAACTATTAGCCCTCCAGAAAGGTCAAAATATAAAAATAACATAGTGTGCTATGTTATTAAAATTCACCAGGAGGAAACAATAAAAAAATATAAAAAGTCTTTTTGCTGGGAACAATAATGAAAAAAGGTTGAGAGAAACCAATCTATTCTGATCGGTCGCTTACTATATCACCTTATTATGGCTACTTGATTTTAAACTTCTTCTTCTATGGTAATAAGTATATTTTATCCACTCTCAACCCCATCCATGTTTGAAGCTATATAGAGATATCTATAAGGGTGAATAAGAAAGAAAATGATTGGTGTTGTTAATATCATTTTTTATTAAGGAAAGGAAGTCATTGAATGAATATTGAACTAAAAACTAAAGACCATGAAGTTCTGTTTTATTGACCATAAAGTGTTTTATGATTATAATTTCTTTACTGATTAAATTTCTTAAATGATTAGAAGTTAGAGAAAGAAACAAAAACTTCATGGGAAAATATTTTGTCATAACTGAGATGCAATGAAGTTAACATAAATGTAGAGAGAAATGTATAATCATTGCCCACTGTGTACAAAGGCATCAATATTTAATCTTTAGAGGAATGAAAATGGCTCCACGTTGATGAATATACTTAATTGGGAAGCAATATCTGAGTCATGGAATTGCTAAACTATTAAATGAAAATAAGCTAGAAGGGTGCTAGTATTGGTTCTCCTATCTTTTAATCCTTTACTTTGTGCCAGTTTTTAGCATAAATGTAGCTGATGATGTTACTTCTTTTCTTTTAGAAAAAAAAATGCCATTTAAAAGACTCTAAGATTAATTGCTTCGCTCTGTTGGTTTAACATGCAGTAGCAGAGTGCCATGGCTGTTTTGCACATTACAACCTGATGAAACCAACTGTTTTGACAACCCTCTATAACCCGAGTCACAAGGGATTTAGTAATAGGCTGCTTTCCAAATCTTACCTGAGAAATGATTAATAAGCTTGAAATCTCTTTCTTTCACTTAATGCCCTCTGTGCTTTCTCTGTGCCCCTCACTTTAATAGTGTGTGAGGAGGCACTGCCCCTTATTTGGTGTTTGCCCCTGGGATGACTCCTACGTTTAGCAGAGAATTGTTATGAAATATACTAGAGAAGGGCCCAGGGAGCACAGTCTTACTCAAGCTGTTGCTTTGCAATAACAGTTGGTTTCTACTGCCTGTCAGGCCCAACACTAGTGGATGCTCAGTCAACTCAGATTACAGGTGTCAGGCAGAGAACACGTCTTTTATTAAAACTTTATCCTCTTCCATTTTTGATGATAGGTTGGCTAACTTTATTCATGGTTTGGCTTTCATGGGTAGGATGCTGTTGTTAATGGCTACAAATAACTACCCACTAATTCTTCCAACAAGCCTGGGTGATGTGTCTGACACTACAATCATGAAAAGCAACTGTTTGACCAAATATTTTACCCTGGTTAACAAGGACCACCAGCTTCCTAGACTATAGTATATGTGTTCTTTCTGTCTGGTGCCTAACAAAGTGACATATATATTTTGTATTTTGTCATACTGCACATATGTGATTAATGAAGAAATTACAGATTTCTGTTCCAAAACATGAATTTGAACTCAGTACGACAGTGCAAATTAAAGGAATGAGCTGACACTTGAAGTTAAAAATGTTGAGGTTCTAAATTACTTAAGAGATAAAACAGCCAGGCATGGTGGCTCCCACCTGTAATCCCAGCTACTCCAGGGGCTGAGGCCATAGAATTGCTTGAGATCAGGAACTCAAGATCAGGTTGGGCAACATAGCATCTCTTTAAAAATTAGCTGTATGTGGCACCTGTAGTTTCAGCTCCTCTGGAGGCTAAATTTGGAGGATCCCTTGACCTCAAAAGTTTGAGGCTTTAGTGAGTTATGTTCGTGCCACTGCACTCCAGCCGGGGAGACAGAGCAAGACTGTCTCTTACAAAAAAAAAAAAAAAGGAGAGAGAGAGAAAACAATTAGTCTACTGTTGCTGTATAATCAACCTGATATTTGAGTCTTGGCAGGATGAATTTAATCTCCCTGGCTCTTAGTTTTGCTACTAAACAGTAAACTCTATGGGGAGAAGGATGTCTGCCTCATTCAATGGTAGAATTTCTGCATCTAGGGTAGTGCCCAGGAAATAATAAGGATTCAATAAATATTTGTTCAGTTAAATGCAATGGAGTGATGCCATGATTCCAAATATCCTAAGAAAGTTTAGCAGAACTATATATACATACATACATGTATGTATATAAATATATCAAAACAGCATCCCCAATTCAAAACCAACCCGCTTTCTAATTTATAGCATTAGATGATTTTTCATGCTTTGTGATGTTTCTCTATTAAACTGACAAATCTTAAGGGTCATGTCTTTTACTCCTTTAGTCTGTTTTTCATTATTCTTATTTTCAGTGTCTTTTACAGCCTCATTCTAAGGACGTAAGCACATTCCATGCTCCTTTTCAAGGCATCAGTTACTTAGTTTTAATTTATATACAAATGATACATAAATACAGTAAAAAAATAAAATAATACAGAAGAGCTTATGGTGAAAAGCAACTCTCTTGCTCCATCCCTCCTACCTTTATTTTTAGTCCCTAGTTACAGCCTCTTTTAACTGTTTATATTTTAGTTTTTCAAGCAGTTATCTGGTTGTTATCTTCAATGTTATCTCCCAAAGTAGATTCCTAATTTCATTCAGAATAAATAAGAAACCGTGTTTTGGTAAAATATTTTCATTTTTCCCTTCATCTTCCCAGTACGTAGAACAGTGCCTGGCACTTAGTTGTCTCTTGGTAAACATTCATTGAAGGTATTGGGGGAAAATGACAAAGAAGATTAGCTAGAAAAAAGGTAATGTTTCTCTGCAAAGCAGCACCAATTCTCTTAACACAGAAAAGACCTAGGAAACCAGAGGACAAAGACATTTTAGAAAATAAAACAAAAATCCATTAGATGACATTATTCCTCAGCTCCTATCAGTCTCAGCACATGGAATGTAATCTTTATCTCTTCCACGATTGTAATTACGTAACAGGCAACAAGGGTTCCCATATTATTTTATGCAATGCAGCTGACCTCAAAGATAGCAGCAGCTGAGGAATGAAGATAATCTAATTTTAAACTATTGTGCGGGTAGTAAACATTTAAACATTTTCCTATTATACTTAAAACTTAAAAAAAAAATCTGCCCTAACTTAGTGGCATATATATTTGGGTTTTTTGTTTGTTTTAAACTTTCACTGATTTATGATTAAATTGGCATATCTTTCATACCAGCCCTCTAACCAGCACTTCGAGTTTTATATCATGGTTCATAATTCAGAAACATGGCCTCCTGTGACAAAAATTAACTCTTCCTCCTCTTAACTTCTAAACGTGCCATCTTCCAGATTCCTTCATTTTCGTGTACCTCCAAAAATCTAGTCCTTAATTATATTTTAAAAACCAATTTAGTAGCAAAACCAGGTCCAAATGAATGTTTTTGAATAGAGTTGAAATAGATAAAGCAATTATTTTTTGCATTTCTGTTCTCATTGAACTAGAAATTTGCTAATCCTCAAATATCACTTCCTGTGTGAGCTGATTCCACCAAAATGAGGTAGTCAAATTTTTTCTGTAGCTCCCATAGTGGTGGCTAGACCCCTCTAGCATTGCTAGTTTTACTTTATCTTGTAATTTATTTTCCTTTTTGCTTTCCCTCCATGGGTTTTCACTAAAATGGAGCATTTACTGAGACTCTTATCTATTCCAAGTGTGCTGGATGTTCTATAAACAGATGTATTCTGAACATAAAGAAGCTGGATATGTTTGAGTAAATATGTTAGCAGAGGAATGGAAGTGACATATAAAAACACCTCTCAATTTGTGAGCAGAGAGTGCTATTGAGGATATGGTGAAGTTCAAGGTAGGGACATTGTAGAAGTGTCTCAGAAGATAAGACCAATATCCTTTAAGCATTGGTTTGTAGATAATATGTTGCCATTCCTATCCTGCTATGTATAGTATATTTGTAATTCATTTATAATCCATGTTTGAAAACCCACTACCATGTATTGTCTCCCTGCTAAGTGCTGACCTTGGTTTTGAGACTGCTAGTCAGTCTGAGGCAGGGTTTCTGTTGTGGTCATATGTATCATAGGAGACATCAGCTTCTGCTCTGCCAGGCAGGTTCTGCATTAGGAAGAATGCTTATCAATAGCTCATGCTGGTAACAGCACAGCAGTTAAAATATATTCAGCTACTAGAGCTGGTTGCTGACTTAACTCTAAATGTCACAGATCTTTTTTGGGGGAATTTAGTTTCCATACTTAATCATGTATACATCAGTATATAAACTATCGTATGGAGAAGATAGGGTAGCTCAAAAGGAAGCAATGTAGAATAGAATGTACATATATTCAATATTATATATCTTAGGAAAACTGAGGGAAAGGAATTACATTGCAGTCTTTCATTCTTACCAACTGTGCGACTTCCAGAAATTCACTCTAGCTGGGCTTATAGAGTGTTCACATATAAAATGAGAGTGGAATAGGGAATTCATAATATCTTTACAGCTCTGAGAAGGCATGGTGTTATACAGGCTGAGTTTATATAGTTCCTAGACACTGGAACCTGGCAATTCTAATAGTTCTCCAATCCTAACCTTTTAATGGAGAATCTAGGAGATGATTAGTGGAATTAGTATTGAAACAGCCAATAAGAATGCTGATTGAAAACCATATTCTCTTAACTATAAAGACAGAGAGGCTCTGATTTGCACTGAAGTAACTTTGGAGACATGGCAAAGTTCATCTTGATTAGGGCATTCACTTGCCTATTACGTTTTTAACTTCCATGTACTGGGTAGGTATAGGCCTTTTCCATTCACACTGTCTAGAGCCGGGAAGAAAACTGTTAGTCCTTAAACCAGCATTTCCTGCCTCTGCCAGAAATGGAGAAACTACAGAACTGATTATTCACTCCAAGTTCCCCACATGGGCTGTGAACTTGCAATCTGAGTTTGAGTAAACAAATTTAAACTACCTGAATCCAGGTAGGCGGGGCATAAACTGCCCTGGTCACAATAGACCCTCTCACTGGGATCTGCTTCCCTCATTTATATTTCTTTCTAGAATTCCATGGCGTTTGAGGGTGTGGGGCCAATAATGGCTAAATGGCTAGTTGTTAATGGGTTTTTAATCACTCTCCCATGTGAAGGTAACAAATCTTCTGGAGTGAAATTATTGTAATTTAACCAATGACAACACAAACATTGTGTGATTACAGTGGCTTAAAATGTGCAGTTCTGGAAATAGATAATTAAAACTAGAGTGTTCAATGAAATGCACAATGGAAATTAATGGCCAAAAATAAAATAGTCTACTTCCTAACCGACTGCCAAATAAACCTAATATCGTGATAGATTCTGACAACAGGGTCCTATTGAAATTCTCCGTGGCGAACATCACCTTGTATCATTGCAAAAGGAAAGCAGGTAGGAAAAACGAAGATTCTATTCATGGAGGTGAATCTGCCAGTGCAAAGTAGCTGTGTAACCCCTTCCAAATATCATGTGAAGATTGTTTCGAATCCTAAAATCTAAAGCTGTTTAACTTCAACACAGCTGAGCTAGGGTTGCCAGCATATGCCTAGCAATTAACACATAAAATATCTATTTTGTATATAAAAAATATCTCTCTGATTTGGTTGAATCTCAAATGCTAACAGTTTTATTTTTCAATTCATTTATTTCAAACTGTCATATCACATCCAACCATGTGAAGGCTTTGGCTGTGGAAAAGCAGAAAACCTTATAGAAAAAAAGGATATTTTAATAAGCTGGCTAATCCTCTCTAGCCATACCTCTTTCAAATGGATTTTAAAATCACCATGTAATTATAGATGGAGTCCAAGTCAGAGCAGGAATGTGAAATGCCTGCAAGATGCTCCATATAGGCATACTCTCCAGGAGGCTGTAAAAGAAGCACAGTTTCAACTTTTGGAGAACTTTGAAAAGCAATATCACAGTCAGTTTTTCTGTGGGTTACCACAGTCTTTCAACTCATGCTAAAGGAAGGAGCATTCAGCCCTGACTGAGAACTCATGAGTTAGAAAAACTGATATCAGAAACCAAAAAGCAGCAAAATATGTCAGAGAAAGTGACAATTCAAGCCACTTGCTTCTTGTAGATATCTACAACAAAGAAAATATGTTTGTGGCATCTCATAAAAACACCAGCTAACTTAACATTGCTGGCAAGCCAAAAAGAAAATATACCTGAGGGTGTGCTAACATAAACTAAAAAAAAAAAAAAAAAAAAGAGGAACAGGAGGATGCTTTAAATACACTGACATGATTTTCCTTGTGTTAGCTTTCAAGGGCATTATTGGAAGCTCATATTACCAATAAATACATTATTGGTCTTGTTTGGGTTCCAAACTTTTGTTTGAATAACTGATTTCTTTTGACACTATTGAAGATAATTCTCTGTGGCTACCATTCTATGAAGAAGTATAAAAACAAAATTGAGATGTTTGTACCACAATGAGGGTTAAAAGGATTTCCCAGTGACTAAGTGAGGGGTTAAACATACTATAGTCTCTGGTTGAAATAAAGATGCATTATCAGTGAAAGTTCTCTTTCACACCTGTTTCCAAATCCACATTCTCACTCCAGACATTGAACTGCCATTTAACAATTGGAGAAATAAAGCATGAAAGCAGGCAGAGAGGAAGTTGTTTACTCAAGAAGACTTTACAGTTAACCAGTGATCAGAACCCAAAGTTCTTTATTCCTAGTCCACTTATATTTACATGATGCTAGATTATATTACATAATTCACTTCACTTGAATAAAATGAGTAAGACAAAGTCTCTGTCCTCAGGAGGTTATCAAGAGTCATAGTAAAAAGAACATATTCATTCAGTTTCATGTATTTAAGCTTAAATTTCGCTTCAAAACTTACTAGGAGACTTTGGACAAATGAGTCAACTACTCTGTGCCTTCGTTTCCTGATCTTGTCTTTACAAGCAAGGATACTAATGTATTTTTCACAGAGCTGTTTTAAGAATCAGAAATAACATATATCAGAGACATTCTTAAGTGTTTGGCACACAGTCACTCTTCAATAAATGCCCTCTCATATTATTAATGGAGGAGACGAAAAGTAAACAGATTACTTTAAGGCTGGGAAGAATGAAATGAATGCCATAGGAAGGCACATCAAGTGCTCTGGGCATTTGACTTATGAAGAAGGAGACCGTACAAAATGTTATGCTAAATGAAGCTTCCTCTTTTAGAATCAGAGACACTGAAGAACTTAAAGAAATCTTATTTCTTTTCTTTTTTTTGAAAAGTTAAAAATTCCTTAATTTTTTCTTTCTGGTAACACTACCACAATTTACAGTGCAATATACCTGATGTAATGAAAAGAAAAAGCTACAACAGATAAAAGACCTCAGAAATGTACATCTAATTGATATTACATTGCATTAATCAATAGCTGCACTTTTTGCAAACTGTGGCTATGGCAATCCTGAACAAGAAGGGTTTCCCGTTTAAGCTGCAGTAACTTTTATGACTAGCGATCATCGTTCCTTCTGTGGCAGATTTTTACAATTCCTCTAATGCATTTGGGACGACTGTCTCAAAGTAACCTGCAGCTTTCCTAACAACTTCTTGCTCTCTCCCCTCTTAAGAACTGTAGCCCTCTTCTGCTGTTTTTAGAACCTTCTGCTACCATATCCACCACTTCCACCACCAGATCCATAACCACCACCATACGGACTGCCCAAGCTTCTTCCACCAAAACTGCCCCCTTTCATGGTTCCATAGTTTGATTGCTGTTGTCCACTATAATTTCCAAAATCATTATAGTTCCCAACACCACCATAGTTATCACTGCCAAAAATTTTTCCTTCATTGTAACCATCTTATCCTCCACCACCGCCACTATATCCACCACCTTGGTTTGCATATCCTGGTCCACCACCACCATAGCCCCATCTACTACTAAAACCAGGACCACTGCCATAGCTGCCACCATCACCTCCAAATCCATTCTATCCACCATCATCTCCTCCATAACTACTTCTGCTACCACCACCTCCACCACCATAACCTCCTCTTCCACCAAAGCTTCCATCACAGCCAAAATTACCTTCACCACCTCCAAAGTTTCCTCCATGACCCATAAAATTACCAGATCCACCTCCATGACCTCTCTGTGATCCAGCAGACTGCATCTCTTGTTTAGAAAGTCCCCACCCCTGTTTTTCACTTCACAATTATGCCCATTAATAGTGTGGTATTTCTGAACATCAATTTTATCAACTCTATCATGATCATCAAAAGTTACAAAAGCAAATCCTCTCTTTTTTCCACTCTGCCTGTCTTCCATAATTTCTATGGTTTCAATCTTGCCATACTTTTCAAAGTAGTCTCTCAAATTATATTCTTCTGTATCTTCTTTAATACCACCAACAAAAAGTTTCTTCACTCCTAAATGGAGACCAGGATTTACAGAATCCTCTCTAGAAACAGCTCTCTTTGGTTCCACTACACACCTATCAACTTTGTGTGGTCGAGCACACATTGCTGCATCCACCTCTTCAACATAAGAATAAGTCACAAAAACAAAGCCCCTGGAACGTTTTGTTTGGGGGTCTCTCATTACCACACAATCTGTGAGTGTGCCCCATTTCTCAAAATGTTCTCTTAAACTATCATTTGTAGTTTCAAAGCTCAGACCACCAGTAAAGAGTTTTCTCAACTGCTATGGTTCCTTTGGATCATGGTCCTCCTCCCCCTGGCGGCAGCAGGCTTGGGGCTACTGGGAGGCAGTTTCACCTCCATTTTGAGACCAGACTCTCCTCTTCCAACTCGAATTCAATATCAGAAATATTATTTCTAATCCTACCACTCCTTTATCATTTCTTACCATCACTTCAGGACTTGGGTTATTTTGCCTGTCACTATCTCACATTCATGCTCTCTCTTATATTTTCTATTTATGAGTTACACATAATAAACTCTCAATGCTATTTCCTCAAGCTCTATGAAAATTGCCTTAGTAGCATTATCAGAATTTATCGACATGTACAAAAACCAATAATATTATTTGTTACAGTCCTTTTTTCACTCTTCTATATATACCTGTCTTCTTTAATTATTAAAGATGTAGTTGCTACTATTGTGGAGAAGTATCTGTGGTATTAATATGCTTTCTGAATATTAATTTATTTCTAAGGGCAAGCCAAATGTATAGGGATAAAGTCCTCTAATGCTTTTATAGCTTTTTAATGTGTTTTAGTTTTTTAAATATTTAAAATGTTTAAAATTTTTTTTTGCCTTAGTGCTCATTATAACAATATATAAATAGAAAATTTAAAAATAATTTTTAGTATTCATTTCTCTCTGAATCTTATTCCTCACAAAACTTTATAACCTTACACTTGTGTAATTATCATCAGATGCCATGAAATCTATTATAAATTTCAGGAACTAATGGCTATCAGGAAATTAAAGATTTCTGAGAAGTAAATAAGCTTGTGCAGCTGCCCCACCACTGGCTGAAAGTTCCCATTGGCAGCAGCTTTGTGTCTTTCTGGGGTGGAGTTCCCAGAGGCAATAGACAGCCCCTCTGCCACTGCCGCTGATTGGTAACTGCCCTTGCTGTCACCAGGCTGGGGAAGGAACAAAGACCTGAGTGCCTTACTCACACCTCCAGCACACCACAGCTGCCGTGTGGAGAAGAGGACAGCTGTCTTCTCCATGAGACCAGCACCTGCTCTTCACCAGACAAGACTCCCAACTCCCCCAACTTGGTCTCACAACAAAGCTGCCCCACCCCAGGCTGATCATTCTGATAAGAGGGCCTCTGCATTTCTCTGAGGTGGAGCCCTAAGAAACAAGTGAAAGACCCTCTGCCACTGCCACTGCAAGGTCCCCACCCCTGTTTCTCCCAAGCTGGCAAGGGAAGAAAAAGCCTGTGCTAGCCGCAGGGCTGAGATCTGTGGGAGAGGAGCCCACTCTCAGAGCACAGAGAGGAAGCATGGCTACAAGCACAAGGAAATGCAGAGGAGCCAGTGGCTAAGAACCTACCTATGAGCCATTGTGGTGAAGTGCAGTCAACTGGATGACAGCCCAGATTTCAACAAAAATACTTTACTAATACACCGTCTTGTGAAACCAAAGTCAAGAATTTAACCACAAATAAGATCTATGCAAAGGCTTGGCCCTCTGTAAATACCCAGAAATGAAGCCAACTGACTATACTCAAATTACACCTCAGTTAAAGAACATCAGTCCACAAAGATGAGAAAGAACCAGTGCAAAAACTCTGGTAACTCTAAAAACCACAGTGTCTCCTTACCTCCAAATAACCCATTCCAAAGAATGTAAGGAATTCAATAAAATGATTCAAGAGATGAAAGATTAAATAGCCAATTCAAGAAAAAAAACAGATTGATCTGATAGAGGTAAAAAAAAACCTATGGCAGGAATTTAGTAACAAAATTGAAAGTATTAACAGCAGAATAGACTGAGCTGAAGGAAAAAAATCTCAGAACTAAAAGAACAGTTTCTTGAATTAACTCAGACCAAAATAAAGACAGAAGAATTTTAAAAAACAAAGAAATCCTTCAAGAAATATGGAATTATGTAAAGAGACCAAACCTATGACTCCCTGGGGTCCCTGAAAGACAGGGAGAGAGACCAAGAAACTTGGAAAACATATTTGAGGATATTGCACATGAAAATTTCCCCAACCTCGCTAGAGAGGTTGGCATTTAAATTCAGGAAATTCAGAGAACCCCTGCAAAATACTATACAAGAAGACCATTCCCAAGACACATAGTATCAGACTGTCCAAAGTCAATATGAAAGAAAAAAATATTAAAGGCTTCTAGAGAGAAGGGGCAGGTCACCTGCAAAGGAAACCCCATTAGGCAAACAGCAGACCTTTCAGCAGAAACCCTACAAGCCAGAAGAGATTTAGGGCCTATATTGAGCATCCTTAATGAAAAGAAATTCCAAGCAAGAATTTCCTATACAGCCAAACTAAGCTTCTTATGTGAAAAAGAAATAAGATCCTTTTTAGACAAGTAAATGTTAAGGAAATTTATTAACATCAGATTTGCCTTACAAGAGATGTTGGGGGAAGTCAGGGACCCCAAAAGGAGGGACTGGCTGGAGCTGCGGCAGAGGAACATAAATTGTGAAGATTTCATTTTAATATGGACATTTATCAGTTCCTAAATTAATACTTTTATAATTTCTTATGCCTGTCTTACTTTAATCTCTTAATCCTGTTATCTTTGTAAGCTGAGGATGTATGTCACCTCAGGGCCACTATGATTATTGTGTTAACTGTACAAATTGATTGTAAAACATGTGTGTTTGAACAATATGAAATCAGTACACCTTGAAAAAGAACAGAATAACAGTGATTTTAGGTAACAAGGGAAGACAACCATAAGGTCTGAGTGCCTGGGGGTTGGGCAAAATAGAGCCATATTTTTCTTCTGGCAGAGAGCCTATAAATGGATGTGCAAGTAGGGAATATATTGCTAAATTCTTTTCCTAGCAAGGAATATTAATAATTAATACCCTGGGGAAGGAATGCATTCCTGGGGGGAGGTCTATAAATGGCCGCTCTGGGAGTGTCTGTCTTATGCAGTTGAGATAAGGACTGAAATATGCCCTGGTCTCCCGCAGTACCCTCAGGCTTACTAGGGAGGGGAAAAACCCCACCCTGGTAAATTTGAGGTCAGACCGGTTCTCTGCTCTCGAACCCTGTTATCTGTTTTTTAAGATGCTTATCAAGACAATACATGCACAGCTGAATATAGACCTTTATCAGTAGTTCTGTTTTGCCCTTGTCCTGTTTCCTCAGAAGCATGTGATCTTTGTTCCCCTTTTGCCCTTTGAAGCATGTGATCTTTGTGACCTACTCTCTGTTCTTGCACCCCCTCCCCTTTTGAAATCCTTAATAAAACTTGCTGGCTTTGAGGCTCAGGTGGGCATCATGGTCCTACCAATATGTGATGTCACCCCTGGAGGCCCAGCTGTAAAATTCCTCTCTTTGTACTCTTTCTCTTTATTTCTCAGCCAGCTGACACTTACAGAAAATAGAAAGAACCTACATTGAAATATTGGGGGTGGGTTCCCCCGATAAGAGACCCTTAAGGGAGTGCTAAACAGGGAAATGAAAGATCATTACCAGCTACCACAAAAACACACTTAACTACATAAACCATTGGCACTCTAAAGCAACCACACAATCAAGTCTACATAACAACAAGCTTATAACAGGATGACAGGATCAAATCAGCACATATCAGTACTAACCTTCAGTGTAAACAAGCTAAAAGCCCTGCTTAAAAGGCATAGAGTGGCAAGTTGGATAAAAAAGCAAGACCCAACTGGATGCTGTTTTCAAGAGACCCATCTTAGATACAATGTCATCCATAGGCTCAAACTAAAGGACAGGAGAAAAATCTATCAAGTAAATGAAAAACAAAAAAGGGCAGGAGTTACTATTCTTATTTCTAACAAAATAGACATTAAACCAACAATTATAAAGAAAGGACAAAAAGGACATTAGATAATGATAAAGGGTTCAATTCAAAAGAAGTCTTAACTATCCTAAGTATATATCCACCCAATACTGGGGCACCTAGATTCATAAAACTAGTTCTTAGAGACTTACCAAAGAGAACCACACAATAATAGTGGTATACTTCAACACTGCACTGACAGTATTAGACAAATCATTGAAGTAGAATACTAACGAAGGTATTCTGGACCTAAACCCAATACTTGACCAAATAGCCCTAACAGACAGCAACAGAACACTTCACCCAAAAATAACAGAATATACGTTTTTCTCATCTGCACATGGCACATACTCTAAAACTGACCACACACTCAGCCATAAAGCAATTCTCAACAAATTAAAAAAAAAAATACTGAAATCATACCAACCACACTCTTGTTCACAGTGCAATAAAAATAGACATCAATACCATGATCTCTCAAAACCATAGTACTAAATGAAAATTAAACAAACTTCTCTTGAATGACTTTTTGACAAACAAAGAAATTAAGGGAAAATTCAAGAAATCCTTTGGAAGTAATTAAAACAAAGATACAACATACAAGAATCACTGGGACACAGTAAAGCTGTGTGAGGGGAAATTTTCTAGTGCTAAGCACTCCTATCAAAAAGTTAGAAAAAAGTGTCAAATTAATAACTGAACATTACACCTAGAGGAACTGGAAAAAAAAAGAGCAAACCAACCTCACATCTAGCAGAAGAAAAGAAACAACCAAAATTAGAGCTGAACTGAATTACACAGAGATGAGAAAATCATACAAAAGATCAAGAAAACCCAAAGTTTGTTTTTTGAAAGAATAAATAAGATTGATAGACCACTAACTAGACTAATAAAAAAAAAGAGGGAAGATCCAAATAAACACAATCAGAAATGACAAGAAATGACAAAGGGGACATTACCACCAACCCCAGAGAAATACAAAAAACCCTCAGAGACTATTACAAACAACTCTATTCACATAAACTAGAAAACCTAGAAGAAATGGATGTACAACCTCTGAAGATTAAACTGAGAAGAAATCAAATCCATGAACATGACAATAATGAGATTCAAAATTGAATCAGTAATAAAAACCTACCAACCAAAAATGCCCTGAATGGGACAGATTCACAGCCAAATTCTAACAGAGCTGGTACCTATCCTACTAAACAATTCTGAAAAATCAAAGAGGAGGACTCCTCCCCAACTTATTTTGTGAGGCCAGTATCATTTTGATACCCAAATCTGGCAGAAACACAACAAAAAAAGAAAACTTCAGGCCAAATATCCCTAATAAACATAGATGCAAAAATCCTTAACAAAACACGGCAAACCGAATGCAGCAGCACAACAAAAAGCTAATCCACCACTATCAAGTAAGCTTTATTTCTGGGATTCAAGGTTGGTTCAACCTATGCAAATCAATAAATGTGATTCATCACATAAACAGAACTAAAAACAAAAACCATGAGATCATCTGAATAGACACACAAAGGCTGTCAACAGAATTCAATATATCTTCAGGCTATAAACTCTCAACAAACTAGGCATTGAAGGAACCTAGTTCAAAATAATAAGAGCCACCTATGACAAACCCATACCAACATCATACTGAATGGGCAAAAGCTGGAAGCATTCCCTGTGAGAACAGAAAGAAGACAAAATGTCCACTCACCACTCCTATTTAACATAGTAGTGGAAGTCCTAGCCAGAATAATCAGGCAAGAGAAAGAAATAAAAGCCATTCAAATAGGAAGAGAGGAAGTCAAAATATCTCTCTTCACAGATGATACAATTCTATACCTAAAAAATGCCATCATCTCTGCCCAAAGGTCTTAGGTCTGATAAACAACTTTAGCAAAGTTGCAGATACAAAATCAATGTATCAATCAAAACCCAACAGCATTTTTATACACTAATAACATCAAATCTGAGAGTCAAATCAAGAATGCAATCCCACTTACAACAAGCACAAAAAGAATAAAATATTTAGAAATACAGCTAAACAGGGAGGCAAAAGAGCTCTACAATGAGAATTACAAAGCACTGCTGAGCAAAATCAGACATGATACAAACAAATGGAAAACCACTCCATGCTCATGTATAGGAGGAATCAATATTGTTAAAATGGCCATACGGCCCAAAGCAGTTTACATATTCAATGCTATTCCTACCAAACTACTAATGATGTTTTTAGAATTAATCATTATTAATTGATAATTAATTATTATTAGAATTATAATTAGAAAAATACTGTTCTACAATCATTCGAAGCCAACGAAAAGCCCAAATAGCCAAAGAAATCCTAAGCAAAAAGAACAAGGCTGGAGACATTACACTACCTTACTTCAAACTGTACTATAAGGCTACAGTAACTACAACAGCACACTACTAGTAAAAAAAAAATAGACATGTAGACCAATGGAACACAATAGAGAACTCAGAAATAAAGCAGCATACCTAAAAACACCTGTTCTTCAACAAAGCTGGTAGTAGCAAGCAATAGGGAAATAACTCCCTATTCAATCAATAGTGCTGGGATAACTGGCTAGCTACATGCAGAAGATTAAAACTGGACCCCTACATTTCACTGTATACAAAAATTAACTCAATATGGATGGAAGACTTAAATGTAAAACCTAAAACTATAAAAATTCCAGAAGAAAGTCTAGGAAATACTATTCTGGACATCAGCTCTGGCAAATATTTCATGATGAAGACTTCAAAAGCAATTGCAACAAGAACAAAAATTCACAAATGGGATCTTTTTAAACAAAGAGTTTCTGCACAACAAAACTATCAATAGAGTAAACAAACAACCTACATAATGGGAGAAAATATTTTCAAACTAGGCATCTGACAAAGATCTAATATCCTGAATGTCAGGCTACTGATCCAAGCAAGCAGGTACTCTAAATGCGTGTATTTCTGCCTAGGATGGAATGGAGAGAGCCCTGCTGCACCACAGTCACAGGGGAACTGGTTAGGGCACTAACCAACGGCACACATAGACAGTTCCAGGTCACCCGGCTGGCTCTGGCTGCAATTTTGCTGCCCAGGAGAAACTGCAGCTATAGCAGCTCTCCTTCTTCCCCAAGATCTTGATGGCAGAGAGCACAATTCTAGCATCTGCTGCTGAGGCTTTTTCCCCGGTTCTGGATATAGAGGCCTCTATCCCACTCCAGAGCAGGTCCTCCAATCTCTGGCACGAGACTTAAATGCCTGCATGGCCACATGGCCAGGTCATCAAAGAGTAGCTGACTTTGTATGTGCTCTGATTAAAAATGGCATCCTGTTCTTGGTCCTGGGTCTGGGAAAATGTCTGCAGCTTACCAATGTCTTTCTCTTACAGTGACTGTAAGCCTCTCCATGTATATTTGAGAAGAATGTGTATTCTGCTGTTATTTCTACTGAGTTATTTTCTTAGTTGTTGCTCTAGAGCCATAATATGCAGCTTAATTTATCAAAATGTATTTCACATGTATACTGACTGAATTCTAGGGAGACACAGAAATTTGGTTCCTATCTAGCTATTTTCTCTCTTACCACCCTGTTGTTACTAATGTTATATCTATATATGTTGCAAACCCAACAATATATTGTTACAATTATGAATAAAAATAGAAAGCAGATCAAGTATAAAGTTGATTACTCAGCTTTGTTCTCACAAAGGTTCTTTCCCTGTTATAGTTAAATATGTTTCCATACATTATAGGCCTCGAAATTCTATTTTGTACACTTCATTTTAAATAATTGCTTTTTAAATAAGTTGAGAGAAGAAAGTAGATAAATATGCATTTTTGCTGTTATTTGTAAATCATATAATAACCTTTACCAGCTGTCTTTATTTGTTTGTTTAATATGGATTTGAATTACTATCTGGAATCACTTGTTTTCAGCTTGTCCTTCTTTTAGTCTTTCTTATAAGGTGATTCTGCTAACAACAGGTTCTCTCCATTTATGTTTATCTAGGGAAACTTTTTATTATACCTTTAATTTTGAGAAAGATAGTTTTGTTGAAAATAACGTTCTTAGTTGACATTACATTTTCAGCACTTTGAATATGTTATCCCACTGCCTTCTGATGTTATTTGTGTTTGATGAGAAGTCAGCTGTTAATTGTTTTTTTTTTTTTTAATATGACGAGTCCTTTTTACTTGCTGTTTTCAAGATTTTGTCTTTGTCTTTCAGCATTTTTATGATAATGTGTCTGGATATAGATGTCTTTGTGTTTATTTAACATGGATTTTGTTGAACATCTTGGATGTGTAGATTGATGTTTCTAATAAGAGTTTACACATTTTAACCATTATTTTAGAAAACGTATATCTTTGCTCTTTTCCTGTTCCCTTTGTCTTTCTTGTATTTGTGTTATGTCTATGCTGCTACTTTAATAATTTCCCACATTTCTCTAGGGTACATTAATTATTCTTCTTATTACTTCTCTGTTCTTTAGACAGTGAAATGTCTGCTGATTTACTTTCAGGTTTTAGGATACTTTCTTCTACCAGTTTATATCTAAGGTTGAGCATGCCTTGTAAATTTTTCATTTCAGTTATAGCACTTTTCAACTCTAATATTCAGGTTTTTTAACAATAAATATCTGTTTATTAATAATCTCTATTAATGAGATATTGCCATTATATCCTCCTTTATTTCTATGTACATAGTTATTTGAACATATGTATAAGACTTTCTTTGATGTCTTTCTGTGTTAAATCTAATATTCGGCATTTATGCAAACAGTTTCTGTTGTTTTCTCTTTTTACTATATAGGGGTCATATTTCACTATTTCTAATGTCACCCTTTAGAGGAAACAGCCTTGAGCATCCATATAGACACACTAAAATCACAGTGATTTTAACAGTGCTTTCTTTTTCTTTTTTCTGATCTTGTGAGTTGTCTGCCTCTGTTTGTATCATGCCATGACATTAAGCTTGGCCAGTTTTTCGCCTGAATCTCAGGATGATAAATTGCTCCATAGTCCAACTTAATTTTAAGTCCTTTTGCAGAGGTAGTTTTGAGGCCATTTTTGTTGTTGTTGTTCTGGCTCTAGAAGGATTCTTCCTAGCTTTGTCTTTCCCTGGTTTTCTCCAGTCAAATGGATACTCTGTGGTTTGGCTTATTGGCCTAATGGTGCTACCAAACTGTTATAATTGCTTACCACCAAAATATCCCTTGCTTTGAAGACTAACCTTAACTTTGAAATTCCTCACATTGTGTTTCAAACAAAGTCAATTCCTTTGGGGATAACTTTGGAACTCCCTATTCTACCTCTCCAACCAGGAAAAATCTCTGAGCCACTTCTTCAGAGCCACAGGCAAGAGTGTCATGCTTTCTAATAAGCAGGGCATTGGGTGGTGACTGCAGTCTCTGGTATGGTGATTGTATTTATTCTCTCTTGCCTTCCACCTGCCAAAATGTGAGGTTATAGTAAGAAAGTCCACATAAGAGGTTGGCACCTTCGCTTGATCTGGGACTTGCCAGCCTCCAGAATTGTGAGGAATAAATTTCTGTTTTTATACAATATTCAGTCTGTGGTATTCTGTTACCACAACACAAAATGGACAAAGACAAGGATTCTTTAAGTTAGACATTGAAAAAGAGGTGAGAGAGAGAAAGATCTTGCTAAAATCAGGGTTATTATATATCTTATGATTAATTTTTGGATTCAATAGAACAGAGATGAGTTTTTTTCTTAATTTATATAATCCTAAAAATTCCAATTTTTACTGAAGATAGTTTGAAAGGGCTTTCTAGCTCATGCAAACACGAGTCATAATCGATCCAATGAAATAAACAATTGACATGATATAAATCATGTATTCACTACTGTAGTCATAGTGTAAGTACATTATATGAAGATAGAAGAGATTTTAAGGAGATAGAAGTAATAGTTCTTTACTTTCATCACTATAAAGATATTTTTGTTATCTTGGAGGTTCTTTTTAAAGCCCTTATTTACTTTCTGAACTACCACATACTCCAGGTTCTTTTTGCACATTAATTGTCCCAGCCCTGGTATCAGTCATTTCTCTAAGAATCTTTGGTTCCTTTTACTGAAGAACGGTATTAGAAACTGCGAACTAGGTGCTAGGTGTTCTCATTACTACTGGGCTCATTGCTTCTCATTCCTGTTAGCTGACAGGATATATATTTCAGGGTATATATGTAAATACGTGGGTATGTATCCTTTTAAAAAATTGTCTGCCTGTGCTTCAGAGTAATATTTATCAGGATCTTAGGTTTATATTACCTCCTGATACAGAAAAAATATTGTGCCATTAAAATCATTCTCAAAACAGAATTGTACTCCTGCATCCTATTTTTTTCTCTTATCAACTATGAGAAATTTGTTCATAGAATCAGTGCTATTTTGAATAAATTAGATAATTTTCTCTCCAGACCTATCCACGAAGCCAAAAGAGAGAAAGTCTCCTTGTTCTACTATTCCCTTTAAAAATATAACTTTCAGGATTTTTTTCCTCAAATACTCAGTGGCTAACAACCATGCTAAATATTTCTCTTTATCAGGGAGTCTTTGTAAGAGAGCAGCAGAAGTATGAATGGATTCATCCTTATGGACAATAAAAATAACAAAAACAAGTGAGTGAACTGGAAAACAATGATATGACAGAAGGAAGAGTACATGGATTCAGAAAGAATAACAATAAGTATCTGGAAATAACAAGTATTTTCATTCTTATGTAGGGATTAACCACAATAGCAAATTAAGGAGCCTCCACAGTGGCTTGAAGTGCATTTTTCAGTGATAGCATGCGAGTTGGGAGACCTGGGTGCTGAGATTTGAAGGAGAAAGAAAGATATCAGTGGCCAAAATAAACTGCCACTATATATAGTAATAGTGCTAAAGGAGTTATTATGTCTATTAGGAAATCAGTTAGATAATGTGCCAAAGGAAATGAAATGGAAACTTCTTATAACAGAGTAACTTAAAATTATGTCTGTATAATTTTCCTTTACTCTTGCTTTAGAAAACTTATTTTCATTTCTTCATTTTGGGAACCAAAAATTCAGTTACACAGATGTTCACAATTTTAAGATAAAAAAAACGTGAAGATAGATCAATTTATCTTCCCAAATTACAATCAAAGCTAACTTAGTTTTCCAGGTGTTTGCTTATGGACTATACATATAAATCACCATAAATCAGGGTAGTTTTTCCACCATCATAAATGTATCTTCAGGACACTTCTAGAACTGAATTTAAATAGAAGAATTAAAACAAACAAACAAACCAAAAGCTCAAGATTGCTTGATTAAATAAATTTAGATTTTTGCCTTTTAAATTTGTGTTTAAAAGATTACTAATGCAGATGACACCTTATCAAATGTGAGATCTTTTTTTTTCAGTTTCCAATTTGTTGGGCTTCTGTAAGTGCATCACAAGTGAAATCAGTGGATCATTAATATTTACATTTAATGACTCTCTTTAAATATCAAATTGAATTTTTCCAAATCACTTTCAATTAGATATATGACTATGCTTGTAAAATTCAAGGACTTTTGGAAAGATAGATTGGTTTCCAAACAAAACGCAGCACTTCTGGGTTATGTTTGAGTTGTTCAATGTCTTTGCTATCTCAGCTTATACCACAGTGGATAAGACTGGGAACTGATAGGAGGAAAGTCTTAAAATAATTCCAAAAAATATGATTTAATTTTAAAGTTAGGTATTGCAATGACCTTCCCTGCCTTTAAAATTGATAAGCATTAAAGTGTGTGTTAAGTAATGCTTGAGCTGAGTAGAGGACCAATGAGAACTAATTCCAGATAATCTATAATGTGTCAGATGTCTTTCATATAAATATATATGTATATTTATGTATATTTATACATAATATGTATATATACACAAAATATAACTTTCATATAAATATATATGTATATTATGTATATATACATAATATATATAGTAACTTCTTATCTCAACTATAGTTTAACGTGAATTAATTATTCCCATCTTAACAGATAAAGAAATGAACTCATAGAACTTTAATCTAATATAGATGAACCAATACGCATTCACTTTTCAGTATATGCTAGTGACACTTAATCCCAGTTAAGGGTTTCATTCCACATTTTTGGCAAATAGACAGAAAGCATTTTCATAGTTGCCATTACTAGGTATGATGTTACTTTTCACCGGTACTTTTAGAGTGATTGCTTGCCTTTGCCAGCTCACACTGAAATAATCAAGTGTATGACTAATCAAAGAGATAAAGATGATTAGATTAATAATGCAAAGGGGGCAAAGTTGCCAGAATCGCACCTTTAGGTTCTTGTGTATTTTACATTAAAACCATAATTTAGAGAGCCATAAATTCGACCTTCCTTAGAGTAGCATCATGATACTAGTAAGCTAGTGTGCTTTAGCAACAAAAAAGCCTAACCAACTAAAAGAAATAATTAATTTTCTTGTAAGCTATTTTATTTATTATCTTTGTTTTGTTTACAGCTATTACAAATTTATGTAAACACGAGAATCAATGTAGTAACTAGAACTAGCGCTAGCTTACATTTGGGTAACTTATTGGCTTGTTGATAATAAATATACTCTAGTATAAAGAGAACATTTTCTCTATATTTGGACTGAAATAGCATAACTTTTGTGTAATAAATGAATCCTTCTTAATAAGGACACTAAGAATAATTCCCTGATGTACAGCATTGTATTTGTAGGGACTCCAAATCTCTGCCCAGAAAAATTGCAGCAAAGATGAATGAAATTATAAATAACATGAGTGAGAAGAAGTTATCAGGGTACCAGGTCAGTCTATCTGGGCAGAGTGAGTCATCGCTTGATATCTGATTATTGAATGATGAAGCAGAAGGGGACCAGGCATTGAGGAGGAGGGCAGAGGGAAAGCATTCCCAGGAATCTAATTGAGGAGAAATCCCTGACAAGGAGTATTATAAATGATTCCTAAGATTTTTAATCCTAGAATGAGAGCTGCATAAAATTTCAAACAGACCAGTCAATTTTAAACTTTCTATGCCCAATTAAAAAAACTGATCCTTAAAATAAAAGTTTACTTCTAACTATAAAAACAAGACCATCTCAGAAAAATGTCAGGAGTGAGAAGATCACATAACAAAACATCCATTTTGGGTGTTAACTGAATTTCTATAATATAGTCTCAGTTAATATGATCAAAGTTTTCATTATTACTAGTTCTCAAAGGTGTCACAATTTTCATAATCTACACAGAGAAAAAGATTTATCTTAACAGCAGTGGAAATTGGAAACTTATCAATTACATGCAAAGCTTTCTGCAAGAATGCCATCATAACAGCACCCTGTTGAGACGCCCCTGTTGAACCATCATCCATTTTGAGTCCTGATTGGTAGGAGAACAACTTTTAGAATTAAGCTATCTTTTTTAGATTTCATGTCCTACCATTTGGAAAAGTTATTCACTTTCTCTGTCTCAATGTTCTCATCATCAAAATGGCAAAATTATAATTCTTACCTCATAAAATTGTGGGAATTTTTTAAAAAAACTTCATGTATAATGTTTGATACAGCGCTTGACATAAAATTAACACTCACTTTATATAAACTGTAAGTATTGTTGATTTTATTATGTTTTTATCCCTTCCACCCTCTTTGCAAAGAAAACTCTAAATGCAGAGGTTCATCTCTAGGGCTTTGGATTCTTAAAGATACGGCTCAAACTATGGCTCAAATTATGCTATAGTCTGAATGTTTGTTTCTGCCTCAAATTTATATGTTGATATCCTAACCCCCAAGGCCTCACCATGTAATACATCACCATCACCTTGGGTTGTTGGTAAAGGTGATGATGATGTGTTAGATGGTACGGCCTTTGGGATGTGATTTGCTAGGTCATGTGGGCAAACCCCTCATGACTGAGATTAGAGCCCTTATAATAAGAGGATTGAGAGATACCACTTACCCCTTTTGCCCCCATGTGAGTTTATAGTGAAAAGACTGCCATCTATGAATCAGGATTGGACCCTACTTAGACATTGAATAGGCTGGTGCCTTGATCTTATACTTCTCAGCCACCAGAACTATGAGAAATATATTTTAGTTGTTTATAAGGCACCCAGCAACCTTAATGGACTAAGACAATCATGCTAATAATTAAATGACAATAGCAAGAGTTATGCCTCTTTGGTTCCAGTTTCCTCATGTACAAAATGGTGATTATGGATAATTTATTTTACAGGGTTGTTGAAATGATAATATATGCTAAAGCACTTGAGGAATTTAGCACTGCGCCTGTCAGGCATTTGAGTTCAAACTGGTAGCAATTACTGAGACTAACATCTATCTCAGAAAGATAGATGCCCTTTTTGCCTACTTTTAAACACTTGAACAAAAGTAGTAACTCAAGGAAGAGAAAGTTCTTTGATCTTCTGGATACTGTTAGTATACTCTTTACTTGTAAAAAAAGTTAAAAAGTAAACTTTTAAAATAGTGCAGCCCTGAAATTCTCATATCTTCCTCTGCTATTACTCATAGTATGTTTTTCTATGCTGAGAACTAAAAGGATATAGAAAAATTTAAGAATGATTTTGATACAGGTCATACTTAGAGGTCATAGTTCCTGAATACACACCCCTTCACCGACTCCTACCTCGTGATCTCAGTAATCTCATTCTCTCTCTTCCTATTCCTCTATGCCACCTTGAAGTAAAACCTGATAAAACTACAAATGCTCGATCTCTCAAATATAATCCATTCATGCTGGGATTAAAATGTTAAACTCAAGAAACGAAACTAACTGCAATTCAACAAACAGATGGAATTCCACTATATAGCTGCAGGTAAGGAAACAACAAGACTTCAGTAGTCTCCAAAATTATATCTATCACTAAAATTGACTTGCACAACAGAGTCTGATAATAGGGTCAGAATTATGGAATAGGAAGAACATAAATTGCAAGAGAAGATATCAAATGGCTTTTTGCTTTGCCTCAGTTTTTCTTCTCCAGTCTCATTTGTCTCTTATGAATACTGAGTCCTAGGTTTGAATCATTTTCCCATTACTTGTTAGCTGCTAAATATAAGCAAGTAAAACGAGTAATCTAATCCTGTTTTCTTACCTATGAAATGCTTATTTCTAGTTTTTATTGTGAGCATATTCATGCATGGGTATGAAAGCACTTCTCAAGTGCTAGCTTAGTAATTATAAGGATGAGGCTTTTCTGATCTGACTCTGGTAGAACTATATATCTAGACCTTACATTTTCCACTTCTTGAAAGTTGTACTCTTTGCCTCCCACTCTAGTAGAAAATTAAGAAAGTATTTTTGTAAAGGCAGCATGAAACATAATTTAAGACCTCAAAAATCAAACTAAACATTACTAAAGATTGAATGCAAAACCCTTATTTGGAAATATGTTGCTGTGAAAAGTTGTGTTCTGCTCTCTTTTCTTCATTTATAATTTTTCAGTCATTCAATAGTTGAATTCTGTTTTTATTTTTACTCTTGTCCAGAAATTTTAAAGAAACTCTTGTGGCCCTATTGTAGGTTAGAAGTTGCTTAAAATAGAAATGAAGCTTCTCCAGATAGAGGTTTACAAAAGTGGAGATTCTTCTGCATTTCACCTCCCCCGGACTGGCAAGCTCTTTGTTTGTCAAACTTGTTTGTTGCTGTTTTTGCACCAGGCTTCCATTGCAGAAGCACTGCTTTAGTGGAGGCCTGGAGAAGAGTAGGCAGATTGGCTAATTCTCCTCAATGTATACATTTCACCAAGGAAGTGACATTTTGTGAATTCTTCTTAGATTTTGCCTGTTAAATAATGTTTAAATTTATATGTTATAAAATGGAGACAATTTTGAGTGGAAATGCCTTTGATCAAGGCATTAATGTGATAATCAAGTTTCAACTGGAATCAAGTTTGATGGAATTTCCTACTCATTCTTTCCCTGTCATAAATAATAATCACCCATTTGTTACTTAAACATATCTAGCTTTTATTATTCAGATCTGGTGTAAGACTATGAAGCCAGACATGTAGCTTTAACAGGGTACATTACAGTACTGTAATCTTAAAATTACAGGCATGCTTTTTATTTAACAGATAAAGTAAATAGTACTCAGAAAAACTAAGAAGATAAGGGCTTTGTTCAAAGTGACACCAATGTGTGTAGCTACAAAACCAAACAGCAGTGCTTCACCATTTCCATTTCAGCACTTCCTGTGGCCTTTCTCCCTCTACAGCATGTCTTCTCCATTTCATTTCTTGTTGGTGTTGTCATTGAGTGCTCTGATCTGCAAGCATTTGCAGATAGCACACCATAGTGCATCATACTTGAATGTTTTCCTTTCTTGGTCTATTTCAAGAGGTATTTGTCTCATGTTTCTTTGATATATTATTTCATTAAGAGAAATTGTATTAGACAGGGTTCTCTAGAGGGACAGGACTAATAGGATATATGTACATATGAAGGGGAATTTATTAAGGAGTATTGACTCACATGATCACAAGGTGAAGTGTCACAATAGGCTGGCTGCAAGCTGAGGAGTAAGGAAGCCAGTCTGAGTCCCAAAGCCTTACAAATAGGGAAGCCCGCAGCGCAGCCTTCATTCTGTGGCCGAAGGCCTGAGAGCCCCTGGCAAACAAATGGTGTAGGTCCAAGTGTCCAAAAGCTGAAGAACTTGGAGTGTATGATGTTCCAGGGCAAGAAGCATCCAGCACGGGAGAAAGATGGAGGCCAGAAAACGTAGCCAGTGTAGTTTTTCCACGTTCCTCTGCCTGCTTTCATCCTAGCTGTGCTGGCAGCTGATCAGATGGTGCCCACCTAGATAGAAGGTGGTTCTGTGTCTCCCAGTTCACTGACTCAAATGTTAACCTCCACTGGTGACACCCTCACAGATACACCCAGGAACAATACTTTCCATCATTCAATCCAATCGGGTTGACACTCAGTATTAACCATCACAATTGGTGTTGTCATCTAGTGCTCTGATCCGCAAGTGTTTGCAGATAGTGCAACAAACTTGAATGCTTTCCTTCCTTGTTCTGTTTCAAGGGGTATTTGCCCCATGTTTCTTTGATATATTATTTCATTATGAGAAATTAGCCACCGATGTTAGATTGACATACTAACATGGCTTCTAGAGAGCATGGTTCAGTGTTTTAAGAACTGATGGCTCACATATGTCCCTACTGACTTAAAATATTAACTCTCAGAGAGTCCTTCAGGTAAGTCTCAAGTACCATTTCTGTTTTTCTGTTTTCTCCAACTACATGTATATCTGTCTGCATCTACTCTAAGCTACAAAGAAAAGGATTCTGGATCTGCTCCATTTTTAATGTTCAATAAAATTGTATTACCTTATTCATAATTTTTTTATATTTCTTTATCTGTGAGGCATAATTAAATCCTTAGAAAAGCACTCAAAGCACTGAATTAATTATCAGGGATTCCACTTAGGCTGTAACCAGTGAGGAGGGGTATTCAATAACCATGTTTTCCTTTATATCTTACCTCTCTTAATTCTTTTTCAAAATAAGTTAATCAGAAACCATTCATGCCAGGGAGGAGGAGAGAAATTAAGCATTTTTTAAGTGAAAAGGGGGGAGGAAAAGGCTACTATTCATAAATATTGCAGAAGATAGAGGAAGTAATACCTGTAGGGAACGTTATTTACTCAATGTAAAGTTCAAGTTAATACAAAGCGTATACTTGTATTCAGGATAAGTAATAGCCAATAAAAGCAATACAATGTTTTTTAATTGTTGAGTACTTATTTATGGACTAAATTGAATACAAGAATATAACATGCAGATAGAATAGAGAAAAGTGATTTTATCTACATATGTCATATGCCATAGTTACAAAATTTCATGCCTTGGATTTTCACTTCTAGGGATATGGAACAGACTTACTTTTCCGTGTTCTTCCTGCTAAGTATAACTAAAACTCCCTGGTATTGTGTGTAAAGGAAAAAGAAGATTTTGAACCATGAAGAGAAGAAGGTAGACCCACTAAACTAGTGACCTTGGGACCTGAGACATGATATGGTTGTTGAGTTCACTGGGTTTTGTTTTTCATCATATACTGCAGACAGGGAGCTAAAGAAGCCAGCAACCTAGAAATATGAACCAGTGCAGATAAAAAAATGCCTCCCCCAAAGTCTTTTATTCTTGCCAAAGAAATGGGAAGGAGGCAGCCTAGCAAGACAGGAAACTTTTAAACAGAAACCCCACGTGAAACAAAAACAAAAACAAAAACTCCTAAGCCGTCACCTCCACCCATGCCAGCAAAGTCTGAGGAGGGATCCAGTCTTGCAGGGCTGTAAGGAGGCACCCCTAATAGTACCATAGGTGTGGTCTCAGAGAAGGCCAAGTATGGAGCTGGGACTTTCATCCTTTCTGGCCCCATAGGGCACCCCCACTCCTGGAATTAGTAAAAACTGGGCTCTGATCATGTTTCTGAAAGGCAAAACCCCAAATGCTGAAATCCCCAATGTTGAAATCCTGAGAGATCAGAATCCCAAAAGATCAAAATTTCTGAAGTTTAAAATCCCTGATAACTAATCTCCCAAAAATCACAATCCTGAAGAATTAAAACCCCTAATGTTAAAAGTCAAATCTTGGGGAAGGAATTCATGCATTTTCGGTGCACAGGATAGTTGCATCATGTTAAATAGAACTATTACCTTGTTATTGTCTCATTTGGAAATTAAATATAATTTAAGAAGTTCTGTATGGGGTCAAGTATGGTGATAGTTGCATCATGTTAAATAGAACTATTACCTTGTTACTGTTTCATTTAGAATACAATTTAAGAAGTTGTGTATGGTGTCAAGTTGACAAGGGGTGCACTTGTGCACTTAATTTTAGGTGTGAATGTGACTGGATTAAGGAAGACCTAAAAACCTGGTAAAATATCATTTACGGTGTGTCTGTGAGGATATTTTCAGAGATTAGTGTGCGACTCTGAGTAGACTAGATGGGGAAGATCTGCCTTCAATGTCTCTAGTGTTTTAAAGATCACAGAAGAAGTGAAAATGCAGACAAAGAACACAAGGAATGTTCCTTGCCAAATTATTCAGTTGTGTATGACTTCTGCCCCTTCAACAGAGCACCATGCTTACCTTCAAAAAAATGTCCTTCATCTGAGAATAAAAAGAATTCCATAAGCTCAGTGACTTTTGAACCAGACACTTGCTGATAGAGAGGTTCCTCTACGTGTTACAAAACACATCAAATGGTGAACTATTCTTGGTTAGGGATTTGACTGTCAAAATATATGGGCTTCTTATATTTACCACTAATCCTAACAGAAAAACTAGCATGTGTTGCACTTTGGCTAATAGATGGCACTTTAAAAATTCCTCGAGTTTTAATCAACTATATGCAATTCATGCACCTGTTGTACCTGAACATTTTAGGACTTATCTGCTCATTTATGTATTGATGACTGGAAAAGGTAAAGTATTCATTTGCTTATTTGAAGATTTGGTGGACTTCACAGAAAAAAAAAATAGATTTCACTTGAATCCCCGAACCATGACAGATTTGCAATTAGGTGGAATCAACATTTTTAAAAGTGAATTTCAATGTGTTACCAATAACGTTTTTTCCTCATTCAGCCCAATGTATTTGATGGAAAATTCAAATGAGTGGATTGGCCATGCTATAGGGTGACAACAAAAACTTCAGTTTAAAAATGCTTTATTTGTCTGCATTGGCTTTCCTTCCACCTGAAGAAATTCTGGGAGCTTTCAATAAATTAAAGCCACATTTGCCTGAAGAAACCAGTGAAGTGACTAATTACAAAGTAATTATGTGCCTGGCAGGATAAGAAAACATGCAGTGGTATTGCTGTTGTATCCCAGTACTGTTTTCACCAAATTTTTGGTCATTATTTGAGTATATGCAAAATAAATTTTCATATGCTGAAAACAGCATAGAAACATAGCACAGAAGATGGGAACATTTAAAAGGGAATGCTTGGTGTACAACAAATCATGGAAGAATTTCTAAAAGAGAAGCACCAACTAGAATATGAATGTGAATGTATTCTCTGAGGAGAGCCATACCCTGAAAAAAAAAAAAAGCGGCTCTTCATTGTGATGATGTAAGATTTCAAAATATAGTTGATGATAGTGAAAGTCAGTCAGCTCTTACAGACAACCTCTGTGCAAATTACCCATTGTCTGTCCCTGTAATACACCTTATCACATGTCAATTTTTTTGGGGGGAAGGTTAAAATTTTTCTGTTTTTTATTTTTTTAAGGTTTTTTCTATTATTTTAAATTGTCAGCTTTTTTTTTTTTTTTTTTTTTTTTTTGTAACACTTTGCTATGCTGTCTTTCATCCTTGCATCATTTCCAATACTGGAGGTATAAATTGTACAATGAAGACTTTAAGAGAGTTTTAATACGTTTTATGCATTTTTTTTTCAAATTTGACTCCACAAAAGTGCATTATCACAAAGCTAATTTTGTGTTCATGCACTGTGTGTGTATGTAAAAATATTGAAACTTCCTTAATAAACGAAGAGATGTTCTTTTTGTCCATCTGCATTTGTGAAAGATAACATTTCTAGAGAGCTCTACTCTTTGGGCAACTGCATATGTGGTGGTAACCCATCACAGTTTTTGATTGATCTTGTCAAAAGACTTAGGTTGTCTGTCACACTATTTCAGATGACAATTATTATAATATAAAATATAATATAAAAACTGCAATTATTATAATATAAAGTTGAGTACACACAACTGCCAACCACAGTGATATGGATGTATACAATTTTATTTTGACCTATATCTTTATGAATATAGTTTGTCTGCTCATAACTTATACCCTTGAGACTGTTTATGCTTACAAAAATATGTTATTATTGCCTATTTTATTGTGTAAAGTGGCCTGTAAAGTGTTCTGTTGTGCTTTTATGTTTCTCAAATAAACCCCCTTTAAAGATATAAATAAGTGTCTTTTAAAAATTTGTAATATCATTTTTTCTAGAATGATATTTTTGGGATTTTGATCTTCTGGAATTTCAACATTTGAGATTATGGTATCCAGGATTGTGACTTTTGAAATTACGGCTCTAACCTATAGAGGTCATAAGTAGTGAGGTGCCCTTTTCTCTTCCCTTTAGGGTGGTCTCAGAGGAGGTCTACCAAAGAATCAGGATTTCATCATTGCTCAGGAGTAATGAGGCCATTACAATGGATTTGAAGAACTCATGGCAAAAATGCTGCATCAAGAATTTATTGACATTGTTAAAACAAATAGAAAGCTTTAGAAAAATAAATAAAAACAATAATAATAATAAAGTCTTAGTAAAGAAATGGAAGATATCAAGGAAAAACAAATGGAGAGAAGAACAATTGAGAATAAAAAGTTCAGTAGATGGGTACAACAGCAAAACAGAGGGGAGGGAGGAAAAACTAGTAAACTACAAGGAAAAAAAGTGAAATTATTCATCTGAACAACAAAGGGAAAATTGACTGGAAAAAGTAAATTGAGCCTCAGAAACCTATGGGACTATAACAATGATCTAATACTTGTAAATTAAACCACAAAGTGATATTATTGCACACCAATCAGAAGAACTAAAATTAAAAAATCATAACAACACCAAATGCTGGAAAGAAAGCAGAAAAACTAAATCATTTACACATTGCTAGTAGGAATATAAAATAGTACAGCCATTAAAAAAATAGTTTGGCAGTTTCTTAAAAACTAAGTATGTAACTACCAAATCACATAGCAATTGCAGTGTTGGACATTTATCTCAGAGACGTAAAGACTTGTCTTTAAATATCTGTACATGAATGTTTATAGCAGCTTTTTTTTTTTTCTTAATAGTCTCAAACAGAAAACAACCCGAATATCCTTCAATGGATTAATTCAACACACTGTGGTATATCCATACTGTAGATTACTAGTCAGTAATAAAAAGGAAAAAAATTCTGATGCATGTAACAACCTGGATGAATCTCCAGCAAACTAAGCTAAGCAAAAAAAGCTAATTGCAAAAATTTACACATTGTGTGATTCTGTTTATATAAAATTATTGAAATGGCAAAATTATGGAAATGAATAGATTATTGGTCACCAGGAATTAAGAAGGATGAAATGAGTATGGCTACAAAAAATCAACAGGAGGGATCTTCGAGGTGATGGAAATATTCCGTATCTTCACAGCATCAATGTCAACGTCCTGGTTGTGATACTGTGCTATAGTTTTGCAAGGTGTTATCATTGAGGGAAACTTGGTGATGAGTACACATGATCTCTCTCTCTATTATTTCTAACAGCTCCATGTGAGTATCCAATTATCTAAAAATTTTAAAAAAGATAATTCAGCATCATTATATGCTTTATATAAATGTATTTAAAAGTTTTCAAATGCCCGGAAGGTAAAATGTAGCATTCTATAAATTTTCTTTTGAGAAAATCAAAACAAAATGAATAAATAATTTATTATAGGTTGAATGTTTTCCTCTGGAAACTTATACATATGAACTTATTGGCCTGACTGAGGCTGTTAATGACTTAATAAGCTTTAAAATACTGCACTTCTCTGAGTCCTGCACAGTAATTCCAATGAGTTACCTATATTAAAATTGTTAACAATTGTATCATACGTGTAAGGGAACTGAAGTAATATGGTCAAAGCTGACTAGCAGTTCTCATAGCATGGCCTGAAGACCCATGGAGGTTTCTGAGACCAGTTTTGGGATTCATAAAGTGAAAACTGTTTTCATAAATATTATTTGCCTTTTTCACCATGCTATTTACATTAATGGTAGGTAAAATTGCTGACACTTTAGCAAGAATTAAGGCAATAGCACCAAAATGTACTAGTAGTCAGTATATTCACTGCCATGCCCTCATAATGATTAAAGTTCTGGTTACACTTAATAATGTCCTTGATGAAGCACTAAAAATTATTGATTTTTTTCAATGCTTGAGTAGATGCTTTTAGTATTCCATTTGATGAAATGTGATGCATTCTTAAAGCAGTTCTGATGCATACCAAAGTATAATGATTGTCTCTAAAAAACACACTTACGTGATTCCTTGAGTTTTCAGTTGAATGAGCTGCTATGGGTGTGTGTGTGTGTAACACCACTTTACCTGAGAGAACAATTGACACACAAACTATGGTTGTACAGACGTGTTTACTTGTCAGACATTTTATTGAAAAGAAATGTGATAAGCCTGCCATTTCAAGGAAAACAATGATAGTATTTGTTGACCATGATAAAATTTGTGATTTTAAGTAAAAGTTAGAATTTTTAAACATTTGAATCTGTCACTATGAGTTTGGCCTTCTTTGATGAGATTGGTGGCTATATTATATGTGATTTTTAATATTGTAGAATACAATGTGTCACCAGTGAGAAATATACATCACTCAATGAACAAATATTTTCCAAATGGCCAATTAGTAAAATAATAAAGTTTAGGCATCAGTAAAAGAACCATTCAATGTGCAAGAGAGACAAATGGATTTCATCGTCACTGAGTATGAAGGGTTAATTTCACATTGCACCTGATCTTTAAGAAACTATGGCTTATCTAGTTTTGGGGCAGTATCAAAGAAGAATAGCCACAATTATCTGAAAAGGCTATGAAAATAATCTTCCCTTTTCAAACTACATGAAGCTGAATTTTCTTTATCAACTTTAAGCAAAATAATATATTTCAACATTGAGTAACCAACATGAGAATCTTCAGTTAAGCCAGACAGCAGGAAAACTGGAAGGAAAATAAAACGATGTCACTCTCCTCATCAACTATTTTGAAAATCTAGTTACTTTTCATAAAATAGTTCATTTGTGAAAACATATAATAAGTGTGTCATTGTTTTAAATATATGTGAATTTTTTTAGTTTTAATTTTTAATATAGAACAAGCATAGACATAACCCACATAGAAAAGGACCTTTAGAATCATATACAATTTTTAGGAGTGAAAATGGACCAGAAGTTTGAGAACCATTGATCTTGATTATTGTTACCTATTTCTAAAACTTTGGAACACAGACCTCTCTGTCTCTGTGGTAACGTTGCTTCTTTAAAACATGCCCTTTTTTTTCAAATAATTAAACTATTGGTAAGATATATATATTTAACCTACGGCATGAGTGAATATACAAATTTCCAAAGGCGTACAAAACTGAAAAGTGGGTAATTTTCTTTCCCCAGCTGTACTTTCAGGTTGTATAGGTTGAAGTTCACTTTTTCCCCTTTTAGGTTCTTTATGTATGGAAACACTTAAACATACGTTAAAGAGAATAGTATACTGAACTTCCATGGACTTATCCAGCTACAATTGTTATCAATATTTTGCCATTCTTGCTTTAATCCACATTTCTCCATTGTTTTTTCTTTTTACTGGATTATTTTTTAAAAAAAATCCAGAAATCATCTTTTCATTCACAAATGCTTCATTGTTTCAACAGATAAATAATTTTAATAATATAATCATCTTTTTAATCCAGTAAAATAAAGAAAAATTCTTTAAATTTGCCTGATGGCCAATCTATGTTCAAACAATCTATTGCTTTCAAAAATGTCTTCATGTTTTGTTTGCCAATATGAGGATGTAAGCAAACCCATACTTTGTATATAGATTATATATCCTTTAATGCATAACAGTTCCCCTCTCCTCTTTAAAATGCCAATTATATATTGAAGGAAATAGTGAATTTTCATATAAAATTTGCCTTATTCTGCATTTTGCGGATGGTGGCCTCCTGGTGTTGTTTACTATATTCCTTTATCCCATTTATTTCCCATAAATTTGACAGATATAGAGACTTGATTAGATTCAGATTCAATTTTTTTTTATTGGGTGGGGAAGGAGAAGCTGGAGTAATTCATAGGTAGAGCTGTATATTTATTGTCATATTACACCAGAAGGCATATTACTTATAAAGATTGATCCACGGATTCTGATGTTATAAACCTGTTAACATCATTTAAATTCTCAAGCAATCTTTCCTTAAATGGCTTTAGCTACTATTGAAAACTATTGCCTATATACAGAATTTCATTAGACTTTTTAAAATAGTGCTTTTTTCTGATTCTTTCATTACTTGTGCTCTTATTAGCTGTGATTTTTCTATAAAAAAGAACACTCTTTCATCAACTAGTTATAGTCTACACAGGAAAGGCAAGATAAATACCTGATTGTTTTCTATTTATTTACCAATATTTAAAATATTGTCACCCTGGCAACCTCCAACAGTGACTAATAGGTAATTTTTAAAAATATTATGATATTTAAATATTTTATGTATTTTTAATCCATTGCTCTCATTATACTTCTTGATGATCAAGTTATCCCATGTTTGGTCATTGACAGCCTTTTCCCATCAGCTCCTATATATGTGGACACTTCTCTGATTTGCCTGTTTTATGTAACTATACAGTTTGGAACTTCTTTTACAATGTCTTTCATAATTCGCTTGCTTTCTGATATGTCAAGATATCCCAGGTTAGTTTTATATATTTCCTTCCCCACTCTTAAATCCGTCATTTCTCTAAAGAGCTAGTATGTTTTAGTGGAACATTATGATACTCTCAGTCTGCAATCTTGACACCAGAGGTTCTTATTGCCCCTGATTTATCATTGTCATTTGAATTTTGTAATGAGTAGACCTAGGAAACATAATTTTTTTAAAAAGTAAAGGTATATAGATAAAATTGCAATTTAAATTTAACATTACAGGCTTTTTACCTTTTTGATTTTATAATTTTTATGTTTTTTCTTACAGTGAAAAATTTGACTTCTGACATCAATATAAGTAATTGCCTATTTTATCTATGTGTCTATATATACATATACAGATGCTTCTAGACTTAAGATGGTTCTAGTCTCAATAAACCTATCATAAGTTGAAAATATCATAAGATGAAAATACATTTAATACACCCAACATACCAAACATTATAGCTTAGCCTAGCCTACCTTAAATGTTCTCAGAACACTTACATTTGCTTAAAGTGGGGTAAAGTCATCTAACACAGAGCCTATTTTATAATAAAGTTTTGAATGTTTCATGTAGTTTATTGAATACTCCACTGAAAGTGAAAAATAATGATTGTATGGATACTTGAAGTATGGTTTCTACTGAACGCTTTATTGCTTTTGCACCATTGTAAAGTCAAAAAATCCTAAGTTTAACCATGGTAAGTCAGAGACTGTATGTATTTTGAAGTCAGGTAGTGTGAGGCCTACAGGATTGCTCTTTTTCTCAAGATTGCTTACTTCTGAATACAAGTTTTGATAACAGCTCCATCTTCCCCAAGCATGGGTCAAACTCAAAAATTATGCCACCTTCTCAGTCAAAACTCTCATTCCTGTGTCTTGTGTCAGTCATCCTTACCATTTTAAAGTATAAAGTTTTCTTTTTATAACCAAATACAGATCACAAACTCTTCTCTTCATAGTAATTGTACTGTTGATATCCATCGAGTTAGAAATTGTACAGTGATAAAGAGATAATATGCATTCTACAATATTTCTGAAGCAGTGTGTATTTGGTTACTTTCAATGAGATCTGTATAAATGAAGACATAGTAGTGCATTGGAACATAATACATTTAATTAGCCAATGAACATCCCTGCTCTGCCCTTGCCTTTGCAGAACCTTTGCAATAATTGAGGTAACTATTGATTGGAATGATTAACAACCAAAGTTATATCTTTTTCAGGGGCAATTGCTTTAGTTTTCCATTTTCAGATTTATTCAACAAAAAGATTTGTTGAATAAATGAAGGGCCCCATATCTTTCTACCAATGGGTGGTAAAGCCTTTCTTCTATAAAATGCTTTCTGCTAATGTGTAAACTGGCTGATGTGTTATTCTTTCCAAGCAGCAGAATACCCAAACTCAATTAAAGGGAAGGAGTTTCATTTTGTTTAATTTAATTTTAGAAAACCATTCACGAATGAAGCTTATTCTGTGCTTATATGACACTGGAGCAGGTTGATAGGCAAATATTGTGTCATCTTTTACCATAATTTGGATTGATAAGCACAGTACTTTTCTCTAGCAGCTCTCAGAAAGATAGATTACTTGTGCCACCTGGGTAGTTGCCATTAGACTGATGAAATTTTTTCGAAAGACATTCTGTTCCTGCAGAATGAGGATGAATAGTTTGCCCATCACAATAACTCTGGGCAAGTCCTGGGAGTGCTGCAACAGCAGACTCAATCATACTCAAAAATCTCAGATTCAGAGAGAATATGAAATTAAAGTTCTGAAACATAAAGTATTGCAGAGATTTTCAGGGTATATAGAGATAAGAACATTTGTTCTTTGGCACCATTATCAAGTAATTGGTGATTCAAGAGACTGGGATTGCCAAAAACATGATGAACTGACTCAGACTGACCATCTCGGGGAAAGTAAAGCAGGGTGAGCAGTGGACCTTGTTCACTCGACCTTTTATTTTTTTAAAATAATGTTATTTACGGCCTTGCCAGAAATGATTATCCTTAGGGAACTAACGCAGCTCAGAAATCAAATCTAAACAAGAGAGCATTTTACAAACTTCTTGTGTTTTCATAAGTCAAAGGGTCTTTAAAGAGCAAGTTAACAAATTAGCTTCCCATGCACTTTCAATAATATCTGGCAGTGAATCTTCAGGCAATCTCCGGTCTATCTATTTATTTTTCTTATGTTTTAAAGCATGTTTGTATTTTTGGGGAACTCAATCATTTTTATTATGAAGTAATGCTACCTGGTGGAGGGTAGAATAGTGTTTACTTTTATTTTTCTGAATTGAAATAAAGGATTTCTCAAATCTCAAAGTTAGATATAAATTTCTAAACTAAAATACTTTTTCTTCAGTGATCTTCTTTTGCTTGGTGTGTGTGTATTTTTTTCTAAGATATTTCTATTCTGAAAAGTAAAATATTAGAGTAGTCCTCTTAGTCAAAACATCGTGACTGATGATTGGTTATTAAATCAGAAAATTTAGTTAACATGTAGAATTACAGATAAGCATACACACTGATTTTAAATACTTACACATAAATACACATAACACATATAACACACACAGGGAGTTTTTACTTTGCACAATTCTGATATGCACAAATTTCAGTTATCACAGTTTAGTTAAATACACCAACCCTCCAATAAAAAAGGTTTAAATTTTAGTTACCATAGTATATCAACTGAAAGTGATTCATAACTTTCCAGGAGATCTTCAGTTCACAAGTCACTAAATAAATAACAGATGTGCACCATGATCAATGACCTATCACATCACGTCTCTCAAAGTCTGGCAGTGATTGGCCGATGGACATCTGTTATTCGATACTCACACAACAACAGTGGTATAGATTTGTTGCCACCTTATCTCCCAGTAATAAATGCACATGACTTGAAAATATGAATAATCAAAAGGGGGAATTGAAAAAGATGAAAGTGCAGCCAAGAAATAAAAATTCATGACACTGGAAGTAAAATTCAATTTAAACGTAAAGGGAGTTACAGAAGAAATATCTGAGTGTAGGAATGTTAACACTTCTGCCATTAATTATATATATATCCAGAAGAACTTGCTGAAGATGAACTTATCAATATAAATGAGGTAAGCACTTGTAAGGAAAAGAAGATAACCTAGGTGACAGACAAAATTTAGTGCTTAAAACCTTGGCGATATTTCATGACATTGAAAGCCAAAGAATAAAATGTTGGTAGCTGATCCAAACTTAGGAATATAACAACCCATCTTATATATATATATATTTTCTGAGCTTTTTGAGAGAAAGTTGCATATATCACACCACGTTTCTTCTAAATATTTTAGTGTGCATTTTCTAAGGACAAGGACATTCTTGCACATAATGACAATGCAGCTATCAAATTTAACAAATTTAACGTACTATTTTATCTACATTCTATATTCCAATTTTGCATATTGACCAAATAATGTCAGGAAGGTTTTGCTTTTCTTGACCTAGGATCTAATCCAGAATCATACATTACCTTCAACTGTTGAATGTCTTTCCTTAGCTTTCTTTTATCTGGACGAGTTCCTCTGCCTCCCTCTGATGAGTTCAGATCAATAATTTTGTAGAATGTTCTCCAGGTTGGCTTTGTCTGAAGTGTCTTCATAATTTTATTCAGGTTATGCTGTCTGAGAGAATTCTACATAAATTATGCAGTGCTCCTTCTAGTGCTAGCCATCTGGTTGCTTATGATGTTGCTTTATCCCATTATACCTTACGTGGTGGCCACTTGCTCTCCTCTGTAAACTTAATATTCCTTTTTTTGGTAATTAATTAGTACTTTAATGGGGAGATTCTTTGAGACTGTCTAAATATATTCTTGTTCATCATGTTTTCACCCACAAGTTTTAGCATTCTTTTATCGTTATCTTGCCAACACTAAAGTAGAGGGTTTTGTTGTTGTTGTTGTTGTTTTTGTTTCTGTTTTTAGTTTTGTATATATATATATAGCTTGTTTGGTTCTTTGGTATCTACTAGAAGGAGTAGAAAATTTATGTCTAAACAAAAACCTGCACATGGATGTTTATAGCAGCTATATTCCTAATTATGAAAGGTTGGAAGCAACCAAGATGTATTTCAGTAGGTGAATGAACAAACTGGGATACATCCAGACATTGGAACATTATTCGGTGCTAAAAATAAAAAGAGCTATTAGGCCATGAAATGAGATGGAGGAAACATAAATGCATAGGACTAAGTGAAAGAGACCAACCTAAAAAGGCTACAAAATGAAAAGTTCCAACTACATGGCATTCTGGAAAAGCCAAAACTGTGGGGACAGAAAAAAAAAAATCAGTGGTTGTCAGGAGAGGGACGAATAGGTGGAGCACAGAGGATTCTTACCACAGTGGAACTGTTCTGTGTGGATACTATCATAGTGAATTCATGTCATTATACATTTCTCCAAATAGAATCTACAACCCCAAGAGTGAACCCTAGTGTAACCAATGGACTTTGGGTGACTATGGCATGCCAATGTAGGTTCATCAATTGTATCAAATGGACCAGTCTGGTGGGGGGATGTTGATAATGGGGAGGCTATGCATGTATGGGAGCAAGAGATACATGGAAAATCTTTGAAACTTCCACTTAATTCTGCTGTGAAGCTAAAACTGCTCTAAAAATAGTCTTTTAAAAAATAACTTTTCTGTATTATGATTTTGCAATGAATTCAGCTGATCTTTAACAGAAACAACTTTCTTTTCAGAAATAGTATATTACTAAAATAAGAAGTACCTCTAGTCCTAAACAGGAAAGGTAAAAAGCACCACTGATTCTTGACACTGATACAATTACAAGAGCAGAAGTGGAAGAGAAAAACATACTAGAAACTCGATTTGAGCATTCATTGTGTTGTAGGTATTTTTCAGAAAATTTAACAAAGGAAATGGAGAGTGTTTCTTAATCCCACAAGTTGGTTTATTAGAGATAAATAAACATAGCCCTTATATTTGTAAAAATAATTTTTGAATGCTGCTTTGCAATAATTGCATTGGCTTTATTCAATAATATTTCATGGCTGGGACTTCCTGAATAATGGAAGCATAGCAAAACAACATTTTATCTGATAAAAAATAGGTAAACTATAATTTAAAGTCACTAGAACTTGTGCTAAGGACATATGGAAAATGGGGGAAAATATTCAAGAGAACCTACTAAATTCTGGTAAGGCTAGAGAAAATTTTTGGTATTTGAGACATGTTTTACCCCACTATCACTACCCACCACTCCAGTTCTTACAAAACTCTACCAGATGCATGTACAACCAGGAAGACAAAGGGTCTCTCTCCCCAAAGCTATCATTCTGGGATTAAGATTTCATACTGGGAAAGGCAAGTTGCTGGTTTTTCTCATCACCTCTCCCTAGCCTCATGTTGCAGAAGTCCTACCCTTTCCCTGCCTGGACTCCACTTGTAGAGCAAGGGGTATGCCTAAAGTGTGGAAGGCCAGAAATATCAGGCCTTTCCAATTGCCCCTGCTCCAGCTCACTTGTAGGTCAGAGGTTTCATGCTAACAATAACAAGCCAAAAAAAACAGGAGTTGCCCCTTTGGTCCCTGCTCCCACTCAATAAGTGAGAGTGACACTTTAAGAAAAGTGAGTCCCTGGTCCCAGCTATGGTGCAGTGGAATAGGAGTTCAGCTCAGTGTGGAAAGTAGGTCATAAGGACCAAGAGCTCTGCAGCTTTCCTGGAGAGGGCTGTTTTGAAACAGAAAGTTGAGACATGCCTGACGGCTTTGCTGAAAATAACACAGATTTTAATGAAGAGTCATTAGGAGGCCTTGGTGGCTTTATAACACAATGAAAATAGCTGAGTAGCTAGACGTTCAATAGAGAGAACCAGGGAAAGGGAGAGAGAAGAGGACCATTCTTAGGATCACAGACTTCTTAGATCTCTGGGGGTTGGAAGGCTGTGCCCATATGCTAAGCTGCACCCACTCGGGAACAATCACTAGGATGTGGGGCAGATATGAAACCATTCCCCAATCCTCAAACAAACCCATCAACACAGGGAAGTCTCATTGACACAGGGGGCTTAAACTTAATCTTTGATCAAACATTGACTGATCAGTCAGCTGCTTTGACTCCAGGATAATTAATAGGAAACCTAGCTCAAAAATAAAATTACATCCCTCCCTGGCAGTATGAAAGACTATGTGCATGACCGACGCTGTTGCATCTCAGAAGCAATAAAATAAGGAACCTCCAAGCTATTATGTCCTGGCTGGACATGGGAAAATTCCTATAGACACCATGAACTGTGATAACAGCTTACCATCCATCAAGAAAATGAAAAGAAAAATCATGAATTTTGAGAAAATATTTGCAAATCATATGTCTGATAACAGACTTGTATTCATAATATATAAAGAACCCTTATAACTTAATAATAAAAAGAAAACCCTATTAATAAATGTCCAAAGGATTTGTATAGACATTTCTCCAAAGAAGATATACAAATGGCCAGTAAGCACATGAAAATATGTTCAATAACATTAGGCATTTGGAAAATGTAAACCCAAAACTATGAGATACAACTTAAAACCCACTAGGAGGGCTATCATTAGAAAGTTAGACAATAACAAGAGTTGGCAAAAACGTTAAGACACTGGAAAATTGCTAGTTAGAATTTACTAAGGCAGCTCCTTTGAGAAACAATTTGAGTGTTTCTTAAAACGTTAAACATAGTTATTATAGGACCCAGCAATTCCACTCCTAGTTATGCACACATTGATAGAGAATTGAAAACATAGAACTGCACAAAAGCTTGTACATGAATGTTTATAGCAGTGTTATGTATAATAAAAATAGAAATAACCCAAATGTCCATCAACTGATGAATGGATCAACAAAATGTATCCATTCTAAGGAATATCCATACTAAGGAATATTGCTCATTAATACAAAGGAAATTAAGTAATTACAAATCCTACAGCACAGATAACCCTTGAAAATATTACACTAAGGTAAAGAATGTAGTCACAAGAGACTATATTTTGTATGATTTCATTTATGTAAAATGTCCAGAAGAGTCACAGCTAAAGAGACAGAAAGTAGATTAGTGGTTACTAATAGAAGAGGGCTAAGAGTGGCTTAATGGGGCATGGGAAAAAAGAGAATGAGTGATAGCTAATGGTTATGGATTTGGTTTATCTTAGGGGAGATGAATATATTTTAAAATAAGACTAGCGATGGTTGCAAAATCTTGTAAATATGCTGAAAAAGATTGCATTCTCTCTTTAAAATCAGTGAATTATATGACATGAGAATTGTATCTCAATGGAGCTGTTAAAATTTAGATGGTGATACTAGTTTCATCACTGGTCCAAAAATTATTCAGAAAAGATCTTTTAAAATTATTTATAGATTTTTTAAAGTTTTTAAGTTGATGGGATTTTTCTATTACTTATTTCTAGGATTATATTGCTCTCTTGTCAAATGACATCATGTTCAATACTTTGATTGTCCTTTGAGTTTTTTTATGATGATTTATTTAGCCCTAATATATGGTTGATATTTGTTCCATGGACACCAAATTTATAAAGTGTATCCTTGTTGTATGATATATATTTGGGTATATATTTATTAGATCAGTGAGTCTCAAGATCAATATCCAATGCCCAGGTCACACTCTCATAAATTTTGATTACAGAGTTTTTGTTGGGCTTGTTCTCTATTTTTAAAATTAAATGATTTGGTATTTGGATGCAACATAGATTCTGAGAATTACTCTATTAGGTCAACTGTATTAATGGTGCTTGATACTAAAGGTATTTGCAATATAGCTTTTTTATCTACTTGGTCTACTAATCCCTGAGAAAACATTATCTAATTTTTTTTCTACTATCTTGTTTTCTGGGAGATTTTCCTCTTAGGATATTTTACGAAGTTCCTGGTCTGCTTAAGGCAGGCTCTTTCCCATGATTGGGGGTCACCTTGTTCTGTGGGAGGTGCTTTCCAGGGTCAGATTTGTTTTTCCATCTTCAGATAGGAGGGTAAAGTAAGGGTTTTCCAATGGCTCAAGGATTTTTGTTTGATCCCTTATTTTATATGTATTTTTATTTGTGCCTGCACAGTTGTCTGTGGTCTGTACTTTCAAAATATGCTTGTGTCTACATCTCAGCCATCTTATTTTGAATACCAGAAATACCGTACTGTTTGTTCACACAACTTATTTTATTTGCCATGAGTGATGACCCATGCCAATCTTCAGCATGGGTGCAGATTTGATCCTTTTCCTCCACACAACTCACCCACATCTATGGCCTTATTTGACACTATTTTTGTAGGAATAGTTTCCTTCATTTAATTCTGAAAACCTTGCATTAGGCCAATGACATTCAGAGGTGTTTTATATTTCTCATCAATTTCCAATATGGTTAAAATAAATTTTTTAAAATTATAATTTTTCGGCTCATTTTACTTAGAGTAATAGTATAAAATTTGAGTTTCTCCTACTTTCAGCACAGATAAGATTTGATTTATTATTTTGACTTTTTTCTTTCATTAGACATTAAAAAGTAGGGAGGACTTTAATGCATTTCTGTAGATATTTTTAATGAAATTATTGATGGTTCCAGTTAGGGGTTGGATTAAAAATATTATTAATGACATTTGTGTTATATTTGTTTAAATGTTTGCTTAACTGGGATGGGATTCAATAGGGAGAGTTTTGGACAAAAATGAGATAAACGATGGTAGTTTTCAAGAAAACATTTTGTGTGTTCTCACATAATTAGCATACCATACATGTTTCAGGCATTGAGAAACAGTATTAATAAGCATAACTTCCATCTGGAGCTTGCAGTATGGCAGGGAAGAAGGAGAGACAAGTGCAAGTGTTAGAAACTTTATTTAGCAATTGAGTAAGTGAGATTTTTAGGAGACAAGACTGGAGGCAGATAAACTGGCTAGAGGTTTATCACAATAATCCAGGAATAATCTGACAGGAAGGGGCAGAGTCCAGAGATACCGAAGAGGCAGAATTTGCAGGACCCAGTGACCATTTGAAGTTTTGGAAACTGGGAATGAAACAAGAAAGAAGAATAAGGAATAATTCTCAGTGATCTGAGAGGCAATTGGATGAACAGTAGAGAAGACTGGGGAAGAGCAGGCTTGCAGTCTTAGAGGGCATTGGAGACATCTGGAAAAAATTGTTAAATTAACTTGATTGAAGCTTTTTCTTGCAAGTCAGAGATCTGTGCCATAGTTTGAATGAATACAATTTTTAATTGAATTAAATTACCATTCTTGGACTCCGAGAGAAGAGGAAACAACAGAGCCTGCCTTCTGCCTTCAGCAGTTTTCTGTGCTCAGTGATGAAAACTAAGGGGCAAAGAATTGCCCATAATTGAGGCGAGGAGCCCCTGGCCTCAGTGACCCTAACGTAGCAGAAATTAGAATATTAATTTAAAAGTTCTTTTCAAAAATGCTGATTTGCAATGTAGAGCTAATAAAGATGGACTAAATTGTCCCCATATGTTCTCTAAAACAGTCATCTATAACCCCAGAATTCTCCCTAATTATGTATACTTGGAAGACAGTCATTGCTATTTTTATCTATTGATGCATTTCCAACCCCCCTTCATTGTGATTCATTGTGTGCTTTCCTTGGAGCAAATATAATTTGAGATTGAATTGAAAGAGCCCCACTGGGAATGCTTACATTAAACCTGAGCTATTTTTTGATCTAACTATCTGTTATAACTTAAGTAGAGTAAGAGTTTTATGATCTTCACAGGTTTCAGGGAGGCAGAAGACTCAGCAGGACAATCACACAGGTAGACTAGTCTTGTGATTCAGAAAGGCTGGATAGAGCCTCCAGAAGGAGGTTCTTATATATGCTGCATTGGCCACAGACAAAATAATCTATTTATTGTTGACTAAACCTACTGTACACATTCTCAGGTGTCTCTTCCTCTCTCTCCATTTACCTAAGTCATATATAGAGGCTCCAACTTAAACATAGTTTATTCTTTGAAACATGCCCCTTTTGTCCTTGCCAGAATGATGTCACTCTACCCTCAGAAAACATTTATTATTTGCCTCTTTCATTTGGTCTTTGACAATGGCTACCATCTATTGGTGTAACTCCTTTTTGAAATAAGTTATATATGTTTCATTGTATTCCTTAATGCGATTTTAATGCATCACCAGGAGCCTTAGGATCTCAGTTGACTGCCTTACCCATAATAGGTGCTTATGACAATGTTTTCATGGGTGCTTGTGACAATGTAGATGAAATTTAATTTTACTACAAATGATTCTAGTTTGCTCTATTGCAAATGGGCTCTGAAATAAATTTATGGAATCCTGGGCAATTAAAATATACCATTTATAGGGATACTTATATGTCTATATTTTCTATTAGATAGTGAAATTATTAAGGACAAAAAGGCTGATTCTGACACACGTCTGGTTTCTTCTTACCAAGAAGGCATTCAATAACTTGACTGGTGTTTGCTCTTATGCAGCTCACAATCTGGTGGGGGAATACACAATAACAATAACAAAACAATTAGAACAACTATTATTGGAAACAAGCAAAATGCCAATTATAAATTATTTGTATGTGTGATGTAGCAAATTTAGAAAGCACTGAGAGAGAAAGTAAAAGAGAGGAGATAATAGCTGAAAGGTTAGACAGGGAAGTCTCTGTGTAGAGATGGCATTTATTTTCAAAGCTTTTGAGGGAGGAGTAAATCCATGCAAATGGTAAGGGGAATGGTCTACTAGAAATTGAAATAAGAGCAAATTGATGTCAGGAGTGAGGTGTAGAGTTGATATTAGAAAACTGTCCTCTCATCAACACAAGAAGTCAATGCATCTAAAACTTACAAAAAGACCTCATAGTGTAAGTAAATTATTTATAAATATGGTGACTGGCCAGAGTATTTAGGAGTATTGACTTTTGAAGGAACAAGATTGCACATGGGAATAGTTTGCTGAGGTGCTTGCCATTTTTGTCTCCCAGACTTTAGTAATATTTAATTAAATTTGTATATATTACTTATAGAATTTTAAAAAATATGACAAAGTCATGAATCTCCTATGACATAAAATGAATATCTATGTCAAAGACTTTATTTAACTGTTTAATTAATGAGGGAACCAGTATGAGGTTAAACCTGGATAATTCGAAAAATCACACATTGTAAGCAATAGGAATGCTGATATGAATTTACAAAGGAATGCAAAACTAGTTTGTCCATAGGGCAATAATCAGTTGCATTCTATCAGATGCAACTCTCGTGTGTATATATTTGCATATATATCTATAGATATATTTGCCTTCTTATCAGTTTTCAACAACTTACAGAATAGTGAAACAGAGCAAAGACAATGAAACTTTAAGATAACTTAGAAGAGTTCATTAGACAGGACACTTAGGAATCTTTTGTGACCATTTCAAAAGTCTTTCAAACTTAGAATAAAATAAAAAGAAAATCAAAGGAAAAGGAAGAAAAATCATATATTTTCCCAATGTCAACACATTTTTAAAAACTTAGGAATACACAATAATAATTATTAATAATAATTATTTCTGGGGCACAGCTGCCCTGCACACACTGGATGTGGCCCATATCTAATGCACTGCAAGTCACCGAAAGGAGCTGAGGCAAGGACTCAGGCCCTTCTGTCTGGCCTTGCCCACATAGAAGCCTGTCTGCATCCCTGCATCCCAGGTGCTCCCATTTGGAGGCCTTTGTATGGGGGCCTTTGAAATGGAAAATGGAATGGTGAGGGATCCAGCACTTTCTCTGATTTGACCTCCTGCCTGTACTATGGCAGTAGGCAGATAAACACTTGGTGGTTACTTTCATTTCCATGTGTTGTCTTAATTGACTGCTCCAACACTTTACAGTTCTGTTCTCAGCTTAACTCAGTGCTTCACATAATCCCATATTTTACTCTGTATAAGAGTAAATTTAAAAAGACATAAGATGTAAATGAAGACAATGTGGTACATTTAACTCAGAATAAAGATTAAATTTTTTTAACAAATTTCTGGAAAACCACGTCTTCCTGTCCTAATTTGTTTTCCCTCGTTTCTGGTAAAATCTTTGATTAGTCACCAGTGCTCCAGTTTTAAAACTTATTTTCCAGTTTCTTTGTTTCAGGATGCAATTTTGATTCAGTTAATGTATATTTACAGAGCAACATTAAAAGAGCTATACAACTGGCCAGGCGCGGTGGCTCATGCCTATAATCCCAGCATTTTGGGAGGCTGAGGCAGGTGGACTACCTGAGGTCAGGAGTTCAAGACCAGCCTGGCCAACATGATGAAACCCTGTCTCTACTAAAAATTCAAAAATTAGCTGGGTGTGGTAGTGCACGCCTGTAATCCCAGCTATTCGGGAGGCTTGAGGCAGGAGAATCGCTTGAACCCAGGAGGTGGAGTTTGCTGTGAGCCGAGCTCTCGGGACTGCAGTCCAGCCTGGACATCAAGAGCAAAACTCCGTCTCAAAACAAAAACAAAAACAAAAAACAGCTATACAACCAAGATATAAACATTTGCTTCAGCCTATTTTAATTCAACTTAAAATTCTTTTAGATATTTTAAACATTTTCTAGACCTCTCTGCTCCTCCCTCAGCTCCCCTCGCCCTGCCAAAACACAACATCACCACCTGTATTGCTATCTAAGTGTCCCTCTGAAGCCCTTCCCTAACTCACCTGATTAGAGAAATGTGTACTAGGGAGAAAGCTACTTTGCTTACACAAGCATTTGTATGTAAAATCTTAGAACTCTGCAGATGAGCTCAGTTCCTCTTATTAGCATGTAAGCATTTAAAGAACGGTGTAACGATGTAAAAAAAGCTAACATGAGTGGGGGCCTTCTTATGTACAGCCCAGCTCAACCTGATAGAATTCGTCTCTATTACTTTCAACTGTGTCTGCCTATAGCTGAAATCATTCTGGACTCTCCATGCTTGGAAGAATTGAGAAATACTCATTTAAGGTCTTGGCTTGATAAAAACTGTGAAAGGTCCAAAACATGTAAAATTAACAAGATAGAAAACTTCATTGAGTTTTAATCACTTTAAGAATATACTATTTCATAGCACAATAAATCTTCCTGAAAGCTCTTGCTTAGCTTTATTTGCATCAGAGTAACTCAGGCTATGCTGTGGAAACAAATCAACCTTTAAAGCCTAGGGGTTTAACATAATAAAAGTAATAAAGCTCATACATAAATTTAAGAAGCGCTGTTTTAATGGGAAATTGTAATAAAAAAAGACAAAAAGGAGCTATATATATCAATTCTGTACTCTAGTTGGTAAATTTGTTATTCACAGAGGCGGGGCAAGCAGTAAGTTTGTTATTCACTGAGTTGGGGCAAGAAGGACAGTTTAATAATTCTAAACTTGCTTTACATGTATACTAGGGATGTACAAAAAGGAAATTAATGGTGGACATTTAGTGCTCGGTTTTTCACATTGGGGAGAGAAATTGCAGACAAGCAAGGAAGGAAGGATAGAATGAATTCTGTGGTACTAAATGAGAGCTGAAGATATTAGTATGAATTCATATTTAGCTTAATACATATATACTTGTGAACTGTTACAGACCTAATTATGGAAATGTGTATAGAGGAGTTCATATGCACACATGTATTTGCTAGCCCTCTGCTCAGAGGGCCTGGAAACAGTAACATCTAAGTAGCAACAAGTATATATACCTGGTACCCAAATCTTGATTTCTAAATGACATTTCCCAATAAAAAGAACCAGATCCCAATAAAAAGAACCAGACTCTAGGGCTGGAGGAGAGAAAAACATCAGATGAGCCTAGAGCTATCCAGTAATGCTAAAAAGTAAGGATGTGCTAAAAACACAAAGGGGTTATGCCAAAGGGACATAGAAGCCCGCCTGAAAAAACTCCCAATGGACAAAGCTGGATACATTTGAGCAACACGATAAATATGTGGTATTAAATTACAACCCAAAGTACAAAACAAATATACATTATTAGTCCATGCTGATGTAAATATTAGGTAGATGCAAAAGTAATTGCGGTTTTTTGACATAACTTTTAATGGCAAAAAAGGAGTTCACATGCAATTTATTTTTAAATATGTAGAGGCTGCATATATATAACAAGTAAATTGAATAAATAAGTAAATGGAGAAGAAAGACAAATCGTTCTCACAGAAGAACTCCAAATAATGTAAGTTACATATTCCCTTCACTAGGAAGTGGAATATATCTATATCCTTTCCTCCATCACACTGAGTGTAGGAAAGACTTAAGTGATTTGTCCCAAAGTATAGAGTATGAAGAAGGGAAAAAATAATAACTTTACAGTAAAGAAACCTGGCACACAACATCTTAACCAAGTGATCAAAGTTACCATCATTAGGATAAGTTGTGTTGATAATATGTATCCTATGATAGGATATATGACAGCTACTGTATCACTTATCTAGTACTGAGAAAGCTAAAAAAGTTATGTCTTTTAAAAGTCATTAGTATCTACTGATTTTTCCATTGTATTTTATTTTTAGGGTGAAGTTTCATCAAACTGTAAGGCTTTCAACTTCACTGATGTTTAAAATATCTATTCCTATATCTGCTTTATCTGTCTGCATGCTGTATTTTTTTATTAAAAAATATTATTACCGTGTTTTTGCAACTATTCTATCCTTCTTATTTGATATTTTCTGTCTTGCTTTCCTAGGATTTTATTTCTTTAAAATGTCTTTTAAACACCATTTTAGTTATTTCTCACAACTTTTGAAATGTAATTGTTTAATTATTATACAATTCCTTGTACTTCATAATTTTTAAGTGAAAAATGGCAGTAAAATTGCGTGGTTTTATTGTTTTTTTTTTCTAAATTACCAACATACATCTTTTTTGCTATTGTTTTGTTATTTATTTCTAAATTTATTAAGAACATATTCATTATTTTCTTTGACATTCATGAAATTTGCTTTGAAGTCTGTTACATGGTTAATTATTGTGATAGTCTATTTGTACCTGAAACAACAGACAGATTCCTTAAAAGAAACTATATAATTCCCTGTGTAGAAATTTAATAAAGTTCATTAAATGTATTCTTCAAATACTACGTGATTTGTTTGGTTTTCAAGCTAGATAAATTTTTGAATAAGTTATCTTAAAAACTGTAAGTATAATTATTTTCATATATATTTTCCCATAATACTGTCAATTATTTTTAAATATGTAGAGGCTATATCTATAACAACATATTAATTTATTAAACATATGATGCTTCCTATGTCCCCAAAGCTTTTCTAATACTTTACAGTTAATTCATCTAAGTCTTACAACAATCCTATATTAAAGATTATTTTTGGGCTTAATAATCCATTTTTCTTGTACTCATTATTGATTATTTTCATAATCTAAGAACCTAGAACAGGCTTTTTTATTATTGAAGGTTTACATTTCTAGGCTACTAGGAAAGAGCAAATAAACATCTGGAATTATGATAAAAATCAAGAGAAATAAAAACGTTATTATAGGTGCAGGTTGCCATATGCACTCTACATTTCAGCACCACAAGACAGCAACTTAATAGTTATTTTAATGCCCTCTGATCATTCTAGGTATTGGCAGACAGATGGTTCACTTCCATTAAAACTAAAATTAAAAATTAAAACAATTTCTAATGTATTTCAGAATTCTTATGTAAACTTCTTATCTTAGAGCACATTGCACAGTGAGTATTCTACTTATTTGTGCTTCTCTAAAACAAAAGACTCACTATTTAAAAGCTTGATACACTGTCATCACAGGTAAATGTCATTTTTTGGTTACATTTCAGAGCAGCCATTTTGTCAACTACATTATTTCAGAAACTTTGGCTAAAATTGCCAGGATAAACAAAAATTACTAAATGTTATTAGGAGAGATTGCTGTCTTCCAATTATTATTGTTTTTGCAAATATCATTCTATCAAAATAAGATTTAATTTTCTGAAAACTTTCAAAATAAATCAATATACTACCATGTTTTTATTATAATTCCATGAGGTAAATTAAATTCTAGGAAGTAATATTTAATGATATAATTCCTTGTTCTTTATGAAACAGTATACTCATTGAAAATCACTTTTTAGCAAACAAAATAATTTTCTTAGAAAATTCAAACTATAGTCTACCAATAGAGTTATGGGAAATTTTTCTAATTCATAAAGCATGAAAATATTTGTTCTCAATATTATTTTAAAATTAATCCATAGTAATCAATGTTATTATGCTTATGATACTGCACATATAGAAGATTAACTAGAGATCTGGAGAAAAAACTGGGTTAAAATCCAGTTCTGTTGTGACCTAATCTCATTTACTGTGGCAAATGACTTTATAAATGAAACATTAATTTTCTTATGCATAAGTGCAGATAATTTAGACCTAATCTGATGTACTTGACAGTTTTTAGAATTAAAACTTACTATTATAGATATATAATAATGTATTGAGTATGTGTGTGTTTGTAAAGATAAGCTAAATAATTAAGAAGATAATTTTTGACTTAATTATTATGAGCATATTCTTCACACTGTAAACATTTAGTTATACAAATATTGCTTGTAATCGTTGTTCTCCCCAGATAGTATTACTCAAAGGTCTATGATATGTGTTGGTGGGGATGTCCACAGGACTAATTCAATAACAATTTGTATTGTATACTCCTTGCTATGACTTTTCAGTGTATGTTAAAAAGTTGATGTCTAAAGTTCCAAAATGCAGAAAATATTTTAGTTCTGATACACAGTGCTCTTTATTGGCATGGAATCTTGATTTTCAAAATGAAGAAGGAATGAAGGGAAAGGAAAGAATAAAGAAAGAACAGTAAGTAATTTCTCTCTCAATTACTTAACCTTGTCATACCCTATTAACATATTTGTATGTCAAAAAACATTTTTACACTTTTGGTTACGTTTTTATTTGCATTCCAAATGACTACATTTATTATGAAATCTAAGGAAAGCAAGCTTCCACAATTTCTACCAATCTATTTAGTACAAGAATCAAAAACAATCCAAGCAGGTAGGTCAACACCCAGGTCTTAAAAGCAGAGGAATCAACACAGGGGTCCCTGAATTGTCCATTTTGGTCGTTGTCAGATTTATCAACATAATCACAACCCAATATTACTCTCTTTCTGCAGCATCTGAGTAAATAAGTCATACGTAGTTCGATGTGGATTCTGTGACTAATCTCTAGAAAAGAGAGGGAAATGCAAAAATATTGACATATAAAGGGCAATTATAACACTAATCTTCAGTGCAGTTGGTTCTTCTTATTCACAGTAGTTACTTTCTATTAAGTCACTGAGAACACTGAATTAGTGAATACTGAATCATTCCTCCAAGAGGTTAAGCTCCTTTGAGTCTCTGGTCACATTTTTGTCAATGAATAAATACATAACCTTGTTTTATGTATGTTTCTCTTTAAGGATATCTTATGTAATATATATATTGGATTCATAAACATTGAGCTCACAGCAAATAGCACTATAACTCATGCCTGAACAAAGCTTATCTAACACACATTAAACTGTAAGGTACGTCACAGCCTTCTTGCACTGAAGAACATTAGGCAGCACTTCAGCACTACATTCACAGGAACATTTTAAACCATGAAATTACCAAAAAAAAAAAGTATAAAAGTAAAAAAAAAATGGCATTACATAGATTACAAAAAGGACATGTTTACAGTATGAGCTGGAACAGAGAAGACAGAGCATCACGTTGTGTGACCTCAGCTGGGAACACACCCTTTTCAGCAACTCAATTTGTTTAACACTTTACACATTTCTGCAAATGACTCTGAAATCATTTTAAGTATTGATTTGGGGGTTAAAAGAAATTTTAGCTAGTAGATTAATTCACTAATATAGAGTCCACAAGTGATGAAGATTTACTGTATCTGGAAGAGTAACTGAGATGCTGAGAGATTTTCTGAATGAATCAGAGGCTCAACTATAGGAAGTACCTATATGGTGTAATCTGATAAAGTTCCCCCAAGGCCTGATGTAAAGAAAGGTGGATCTATACTAGTTGATAGCCTTAGCTTTGATATTTTAGGCTACTTACTATTTCTTTGTATCCAAAAGCCACCTTAAGCAGCTCTTCTGAGATCAGACTGCGGTGGGGAGAAGTGGACAGATGAGCTCATGTAGTGTATTTATCACTGAAAGAGACTGATTTTGATGGGTGATACATGGTGGAGGTGGAATGGTGGATGAGAACAAACTTTATTCAAAAAGGACAGTTACCTAACAGCACAGTATGGATTGCCATGGGAGCAATTATGATCGATATGTTTCTTTATCTTCCTTCCTTTCTTCCTTCCTCTTTTCCTTCCCTCTTTTCACAGATGCTTTTTGTTTTCCGAGTATTCTTTTTGTTCACTACAAGGTGGCAATCAGATATCTGTAGCAAGCTTGGATCAGTGACGTCTGAGATACCTGTTTATGGATTATTCATCTGTTCTACATAATGACATCTCCACCTCCAGACAAAAATTTCATAGTATGGTAAGTTCTGCTCTAAGATGATGCATATGTTGCTAAAAATCACATTATACAAACTAACACAAGAAAAACCATAGGGCTTATGAGAAAAGGGGGCTAGGAGCACAACACTGAAAATTTTGTTAGTAACACATTAGACAAAAAGATAAGAACCTAACTAAAATAGTAGCACAGTTTTGCACATATTAAATGGTTAAGAAATAAATAAATAATGCAATATTTCTCGAAAAAGACTTAAATTCCCTTGTGGAAGTGGGCATCAAAAAAGTTGCAGCTTTTGAGTTACTGTGAAGTGATGGAAGGAAGGTTGACTGAAATGGTGTGGAACACTGTACCACCAGATAGTAATGAGTGCAGCTCAGAATTTAAAACACAGGCGGTGTGCTGAGGTGGCTGGTAGATGTTTGAGGTGAGTGCATCTTGTATATTCTGCATAGTTCAGCTGAGTTGGGTGCAGTTTTTTGCATTCTCTTGGTATTTCTCATGAATAAAAAGTCTGGCATAAGTGTATAAAAAATCTGGCTTGTCCTCTAATTTTTTCTTAATATATCAGTCACATTGGAACAACTTCAGATTTTCAACACAAGTATTGTAACAGAACTGACTGTACAATGTTATTGGACTGCAGTATGATTGAATTTTGGTTTCAGATGAACTGCTAGATTTCCCTAGAAATATTCACTGACCCAAACTGTGGCAGTTTATATTTGAATCTTGTTTGAGGACCATCCTTCTACATCCTGAATTGATGCTTCCGAATCTTTCTGACATTAATATGTGTGTTTACTCAGGACTCTGTCTCTTTGTTTCTATTCACTGGGGCTTGTCATATTCTCAAACACTGAAGAAAGGACATATGACTTCCAGCGGGGTACAAATCAGGTGGTCCCCATAGGAATATCTGACACTGCTCTACATTTATCTAAGCAATTTACCCAACCTGTGTAATTATTAACACACTGCCTCCACTGCACAAGGATTTTTCCTAATACAGAATCAGTGGGCTGTGTGAGCCTGAATTTTGGCCCAGGCTCAGCGTATTTCATCAACACTGTGATTGCCCTTGATGCATGCCAACACCACAATATCAAAACATCAAGAAGCAGAAGCATGCTTTCAGTATTACAGCAAAGTGACGAAAATTCATGCAAAGGAAGAATCCTTTTTTAGAATTAAATTTTTGCCTAAAATACCTTTTCTTCCTCTTGACCTGATTTTGCCCATTCCTTGAGGCCACATTGTTTCACTTCCTCTAATAATTCTTGCTATTCCCACCCTCACTGTTTTCACATACCCCACCTTATCCAATAGGTGTAAGTTCATTGCTTCAGCCCTGTTCTCTTCATAGCGTAGTTTCATCACAGACCTACTTTCCTTTTACTGATTACAAAGAAGGTACAACTGGCTAGCACGGCACCCCGACCCTACTCAGCTTAGGGCTTTATTGTCAGAATCTTCCTTTCTACAGTGTCCCTTGGTTAATTACGAGTACATTTTTCTTTAGTTTTGCTATTTTTAATTTTTTCTACTCAACTGACTTGTTAACTTCAGAAATGAAAGAGAACCCACCAAAGTTGGTTCATTTACAAGATGAACTCTCAAGTCTTATAAAGAATCTGGGGCCGGCCGTGGTGGCTCACGCCTGTAATCCCAGCACTTTGGGAGGCCGAGGCGGGCGGATCACGAGGTCAGGAGATCGAGACCATCTTGGCTAACACGGTGAAACCCCGTCTCTACTAAAAATACAAAAAAATTAGCCGGGCCTAGTGGCGGGCGCCTGTAGTCCAAGCTACTTGGGAGGCTGAGGCAGGAGAATGGCGTGAACCCGGGAGGCGGAGCTTGCAGCGAGTCGAGATTGCACACTACGCTCCAGCCTGGGCGACAGAGCGAGACTCTGTCTCAAAAAAAAAAAAAAAAAGAATCTGAAAAGTCAGCCCTGCCAAATGCTTGTCATGCTTATACATAAACATATCTACTAATGGGGAACTCACTATTTGTTGAGGCAGCTCATTTGGCATTTAGTGAACTCTTTAAGAAATTTCTTCTTAATATGGGGCTAAAAAATCTGTCAAGAGTGCTCAACAACTGCAATCCTATCCCTGTAAGACTTCAAGAGTAATACAAAATTTCATCTTCAGAAAAATCTCTGAAATACATTCAGAAAGTAATTTCCAATGCTGAGTTTTTCTTTTCTCCAGGTCCATGTTCACTTTGCCAAACTGATTCTCCAAAAATACAAACATGAATTTTTTTCTACTTCCATTTCCTTGAATATTGAAATTTGTCTATTTCTATTTTAGACCACAGTATCCAGAATTTTATATGAAGGTTGTTTTTTTGTTTGATTTTGCTTGTTTTTGTTTTCACAATACTTTGCACAGTGTAAAACAATAAGTAGATACTAAATGCTGATTGTAAATAAGTAGACACTAAATTTTCTATAAGATGGAATTTGGAATTACCTTCCTAGGAGTCTTTACTTTGTGGTAGAAATAGTTACAGATTATTTGAAAAAAATTAGACAATTTCCGGGAACTTTCTATTCCTTGCATTTTGGTAATTCTCTGTATTCTGTATGCTTATAATTAACTTTCCTGGAGATTTTCTTCTCCATTTTCACTTGTCTATCAGATGTCTGAATGTAAATACCTATTAAACTTTAAAATTAGTAAAATCATTTAATAGTCCCCAATGTTTTATCATTTGACAAAATGACAAACTGTGAAGATATCCCAATTGGTCTGTTATGTGAAAAGAAGCTAGAGATATACATGCCCCTAAATACCTCTATGTAGTTCCAGCTTAGATTTCTAGAGTCCATGTGCACCTAGAATGTAATCCAGTTCAGTGACCAACCAACAAGTTCTCATCAAACTCAACTGTAATTTCTAAAAATCTTTGCTGTCAGGTAATTTCCTACCACATTTTTTTTTGTTCTGAAAATATGACATAAAATGGATGGTCATTATAAAGAGGTTGAGAAATTTCCTTCAAATCCATCAATACCAGTCATGAAGTAAGGCTAGTTTCTTTCACAAAATCCTATGTTTGCTTCTTATGGAGGTAATATTCACAAGACTGGAGTTTCAAATGGATATGCTAAAATTGCTTGTAGCAGATGAAAACACAGGAAGATTAAATGAGACAACACACATGACATGTTTTATAAGTGAAGTGTGCTTTATAAATAAGAGATACTAAAAGTGTATAAGAATTGGCCGGGCACGGTGGCTCACGCCTGTAATCCCAGCACTTTGGGAGGATGAGGCGGGCGGATCACGAGGTCAGTAAATCGAAACCATCCTGGCTAACACGGTGAAACCCCATCTCTACTAAAAATACAAAAAAATTAGCCGGGTGTGGTGGTGGGCGCCTGTAGTCCCAGCTACTCAGGAGGCTGAGTCAGGAGAATGGCGTGAACCCGGGAGGCGGAGCTTGCAGTGAGCCAAGATCCCGCTACTGCGCTGGAGCCTGGGCGACAGACAGAGAATCCGTCTCCAAAAAAAAAAAAAAGTATATAAGAATTTAAGAATGGCCTTGCATGTCATCCATACTTTTTTTTCATTCTATCTACCTCGGCTACTTCAACATTTAAAAGTTCCTTATAACTTCTTTAACACAGGCTGGGGAACAGGTAGATTTCATTACAAAAATACCCTTTCACGAGTTCTCAAAATCTTTTCCAAGAGCTTTCATAGAGGAAATGATCAACTCTCAAAACTATTAGTTGATAATCCGTTTTTCTGTTCTATGTTTGTGCTGCTGGATGAAATCTGTATTCCAAACATATCGCCTAGCTTTCTGGGCAGGTACAGATTTGATCTCTCTTGAGATGTCAAAATGGGTCAAAAAGGAGTTTATGGAGAAGACTGTACAAAATAACTTTGTTCAGATGCTGTGGTTAGAGTTGAGAGAAGAAGGCTTTAACAGCTCACAAAAGAGATATACTCGTTGTTACAAAGAAAAGCTCTATTTCCTGAGTACGTCCTGTCATATGAAATCATAACATAGCAGGTATCAATCAAATATTAGACAAGGATTAAAGGCGCAGATGTCTTGATATTATGGGCTTTACCAATGTCCCTTATGCATTTTTGTTTTAACATAATGCCATATTATTAACCAATTAGTCTAGAATCATGTCAAGTCGGCAGAGGTACACTGTCTATTTTATGTCAACATCCTCCCTTCAATATATGTAAAATAAATCATTCATCACCAATAATTAATACAACATAGGAAGAAAAAAAGCTAAAAATGGATTTTTTCACCTCTTTCCCTGAACTCAGAACTGGTGTGTGCTCCCAGTGAAAACGAGCTGAAAGCTTGCTTCTCTTAGGTTATTCTTGTCTGCATATGTTAGACCTTCTGGTTTTGGTGGCTTCAACAGCTTTTTGATGGCTTCACACATGCAATTTACGTTTTCATTTTTTCAGCTTTTCTGGAAGTTTTGCAAGAGTTGTTTGTCTAGAAAATTCCTTTCACCTACATGTCTCATATCTCTCAGAGCATTTTAAATTTTAATTTCACTGATTACAAATTATGATGAGCATATTGACCTTAAGTTGTCATCTTTTGTGAAGGATTGAAATATTTTCTCCATTTTTAAGGTTATCTCTCTTTTTTTTAATTGATATGTAGTTCTGTACGTAGTCTACTTGTGAGCCATATATTGACTAAAGGAGTCGTAAATTTATTCTCCCACTCTGCCCCTTACATTTTCAATTCCTTAATTTTGTCTTTTGAGTAAGAGCATTCTTACTTATAATGAAGTCCAATTTATCAATTTTTTTCTATATTGTTTATGTTTTATGCTGTCTTTGAGAATTCCCTATCCTACTGATATATTCTCCTAGGTTTTATCCTAGAAGCTTTATTGTTTTTAAGGATGATGCTTCAAGGTGGTCAATGTTCTTTTTTAAAATATAAATCTCTCTATCAATTAGCTTTCACTGCATAACAAAACACCTCAAAACTTAAGCTTTTATTAATTTTTATTTTATTTTATATTATTTTATTTTATTTTATTGAGTGCACTGGTAGGATCTTGGCTCACTGCAACCTTTGTTTCCTGAGTTCAAGCAATTCTTGTGCCTCAGCCTCCCAAGTAACTGAGACTACAGGCACCTGCCATCATACCTGGCTAACCCACTATGACTCTGTGGGTTGTCAATTCACCTGGGTAATCTGTAATCTGCTGGACTCAATCACAGAACTAATAGGATATATACAGGATATGTATGTATATATATCTATAGGATATATATAAGATGTGTATATATATAGGATATATATATATAATAGGATATATATGGGGTTATTATATATTATATATATTATATATATATAATAGGATATATCTCTTCTCTAGAGGTTTTCTAGAGGGACAGAACTAATAGGATATATACAGGATACATATATATCTATAGGATATAGATAAGATGTGTGTATATATAGGATATATATATAATAGGATATATATGGGGTTATTATATATAATATATATAATAGGATATATATCATATATTTATCATATTTTATATATATTATATTATTCTTTAGTGTTACTTAATAATACAATTACATATATATTATATATACAATTATATAAAATATATATAATATTATATATAAAATATGATATATATATCCTATTATATATAATATATGATAACCCCCTATATATCCTATCTTATATATATATATCCTATATATACACATCTTATCTATATCATATATATATATATATATATATATATATATATATATATACGTATCCTGTATATATCCTATTAGTTCTGTCCCTCTAGAGAACCCTGACTAATACAGTTACCAAGAGTCTGTCCATATGTCTGTTGGTTAGCTGGCTGGCTCATTTGGCTTTTGTTATTCAGGAGGATAGGTCAGGCTTGTTTTCATGGTGGTGGATGTGGAATTCTCAAGGTCAACAACAAACAAAAGAGCAAGCCAGAGTGTACCAGCACTTTTCAGTCTGTGTTGACATCATCATGTTTCCCATTTCCCTCTGACCAAGTGAGGCGACATAGCCAACCCAGATTCAAAGGGCAGAGGGGAGACTTTGCTTCTTGATAAAAGGAAATTATTTGTAATGGTTTTTGCAATCTATAATATCCAGTTGACCTAGCACCATTTATTGAAGAGACTTTCCTTTCTCCACCATTCTTTAGTGTTACTTAATAATACAATTACTTTTTATTCCAATTTGGCTGGAGGGAGAAATTGAAGCTGAAAGATGTGTTTCAGTCCCTTAGGGAGTTTAAAGTCCTTTCTGTAGTAAGATTCTTCTCTTTGTTTATATATTCTATGAGTTACTTAGTATCCGTTTTGTAGTGTAGCTGCCTAGATAACATATTCCAGCTTTGGTTGTATACCTGACCAAGACAGCTTTGACATTGCCCTCAGCCTGACCAAACTTCAGACAGATGAGTTAGACATACATAAAGCAAACCTTCATATATGTATGATTATCATATTGTCTTTTTAATGTTTGGAGCTTACTGTGTTATTCCCTTTTTCATTCCATGTATTAGTTATTTCATTACCCTCTTTTAATCAGTCTCACCAAAGTTTTATCAATTTCATTGATAAAACATTATCAGTGTTTTCTGAGAATCGAGCTTTGGTTATTTATATATAAATCTGTAGATTTTTGTTTTTTATTACAGTATTTACACTTTTATATTTGTTTCCATTTCTTTGACTTTCTTTAGGTCCAATTTGCTTGTTATTTTTTCTAATATTTTTAAAAAATTAATGTTTATGTAGGCTATGTTATGCTGGCATAATAAACAACAATAGTTGCAAGCACTATTGTTTTAGCAACTCAGACATCCACCATGAGTTAGTTGGGGACTCTCTTCCTCAAACTTCATTATCTACATTCTGAACTATCAGGGTACTGAAGGGCCAGTGTATCATCATTGTCTACTCTAACTTTTCCTTGAGATGTTTGAATTTTTACTGATAGCAGAGCCTCAAGTAAAATCTATCAATGCTTAATTATAGAAACTAAAACATCAGAAAGGATTTGGGGCAAAAAGCTTATAATTTTTCTGAAGTATCCTAAAATGCTGTCTTATGACTGGGGCATACAATATATAGCATATGCAAGTTTATTTATCTTTTGAATTTAGTTTTATGGATAAATTTCAGATCGCAAGTGCCTGTTTTTTGTCTCCTATTATTTTTCTATGTCCTATGCCAGAAGCCTAGCGGTAAATTTCTGCCTCCTAGAAAATGTCAGCAAATGCTCTGTGTGATTTACAAGCAGAGTATTTCAGAAATGGTAAAACACATAGACAGCATTTTTCAGAACCACAGTGTTAATCTCAAGGGCAAACATTCTTAGGCTTGTGACACTGACAGCTCCTCTGTGAGGGGATTCTATTTCATAGAATTTTAGGTACAACTGAAATGCCTGAAGGGGCATGGCCTATATAAAATGTAATTTTAAGGCTGCAAATTAGTTTTAACAAAGCATATAAGATTGCTGAATCTAGTACTCTCTACGTATTGCAAAATTAATGCTTTGGGGCTTTCTTTTAAGCTTGGATAAAGCTGGGTAGAGATTGGGTTTTCTTCTGTGCAGGACATCATCATAACAATTACTTTCTATTCCAACTTGGCTGGAGGGAGAAATTGAAGCTGAAGGATGTTTCCCAGTCCATTAGGCAGTTTAAAGTCCTTGCTATGGCTCAGAGTTCATCTTTTAGCTTGTACTTTTTTGTTTTGTAGAGACAGGGTTGGCTGGAGTTTTCATGTGAGTTACCTAGAATCCCTTTTGAGGTAAGACTCCTTAGATAATATATACTAGCTTTGGTATATTAAATGTATTTGACCAAGAAGGTTTTGACATTCTCCTCAGCTTGAAAAAACTTAAGACAGGTTTTTCCCAGACTATAGGTGTTGACCTCCCTTTTCTTAGAGCATTTACTTTATAAAATGTCCTGTTGTAAATTCTTTGTCTGTCCTGTTGCGGGAAGTCAGGGACCCTGAACAGAGGGACCGGCTGAAGCCATGGCAGAAGAACATAAAATTGTGAAGATTTCATGGACATTTATTAGTTCCCCAAATTAATACTTTTATAGTTTCTTAGGCCTGTCTTTACTGCAATCTCTGAACATAAATTGTGAAGATTTCATGGACACTTATCACTTCCCCAATCAATACCCTCGTGATTTCCTATGCCTGTCTTTAATCTCTTAATCCCGTCATCTTTGTAAGCTGAGGAGGATGTATGTCCCCCCAGGACCCTGTGATGATTGTGTTAACTATACAAATTGTTTGTAGAGCATGTGTATTTGAACAATATGAAATCTGGGCAACTTGAAAAAAGAACAGGATAGCAGCAATGTTCAGGGAACAAGAGAGATAACCTTAAACTCTGACTGCCTGTGAGCTGGGTGGAACAGAGCCATATTTCTCTTCTTTGAAAAGCAAATGGGAGAAATATCACTGAATTCTTTTTCTCAGCAAGGAACATCCCTGAGAAAGAGAATGCATCCCTGAGGGTAGGCCTCTGAAATGGCTGCTTTGGGGGTGGCTGTCTTTTACAGTCACAGCTGTAGGGATGAAATAAGCCCCAGTCTCCCGTAGCGCTCCCAGGCTTATTAGGACAAGGAAATTCCCACCTAATAAATTTTGGTCAGACCATTTGTCTGCTCTCAAACCTTGTCTCCTGATAAGATGTTATCAATGACAATGCGTGCCCGAAACTTCATTAGCAATTTTAATTTCGCCCCCGTCCTGTGGTCCTGTGATCTCGCCCTGCCTACATTTACCTTGTGATATCTTATTACCTTGTGAAGCATGTGATCTCTGTGACCCATACCCTATTCGTACACCTCCTCCCCTTTTGAAAATCACTAATAAAAACTTGCTGGTTTTGCAGCTTGTGGGGCATGACGGACCCTGCCGATGTGATGTCTCCCCTGGACACTCAGCTTTAAAATTTCTCTCTTTTGTACTCTGTCCCTTTATTTCTCATACTGGCCCACACTTAGGGAAAATAGAAAAGAAACTACATGAAATATCGGGGGTGAATTTTGCCTGATATCTGGCTGAATTTCCCCCGATATTGTCCCTTTGAGATATTAATTTTCTTCCAGTGCTAGTATCTTACCAGTTTCACAACCCAGGAATATCTTTCTCAAGGACCTGGGAGCCATTCCTTTGAAATGTAAATATCAAGAGAGAGTTTCCTATTTCCCAGTTTTGGTGGGAGAGTAGGAACTTAACTTACATAAGCAACAATTAGCAAATATAGATGGCTTGATCAAATGGCCAACCTCTCGCCTAATGCCCATCAGTACTTTTCTACTAGTTCACTCCAGTGCTTAATACCTTTTTGTGTTAGTGGAATTGAATTCAGTCTCTCTCTCTTATTGCAATAGTCTTGAATAAAGTCTTCCTTGCCTGTTTAACTTTTCTATCACAATTTTTCTTTGATGTATCTCATTTCCATTTTATGTAAGTGAAAATCTTCAGAGGAGTTAAAATAAGAAAACCACCAGCTCATTTGCTGCCTGGTCACAGAGACAGCTATCAGAACAAAGGTGTGATGTGTGTGTGTGTGAGTGTGTAGCAACGTAGGTGACTTGGGGTCTGGGTGGAAAGTCTCTCATTATTTTATGAATTTCCCACATGGTCATTCTCTCTGCCAGGTACCAGCTTAGATTTATTGGAGATAGAGTCAGGCTTGGTCTTGAGTGGAGATGTTTGTTGCGCATTGCAGAATGATTCAGATAGATCATTACCAGATACCAGATAATGCTTTTGTTTGTTTGTTTGTTTTTTCCTTTTCATGTCTTTGAGGGTGGGGATCTTATTGATCTTTGGAATTGACTCAGGCTACATGACCAAATCCTCACTAAGCCTTTTCAGCAGGAAAATCACACCCAGTGTATTTCACCAGTCAAAATGAAGATGGAAATGTTGGACAAAATATTTGATCCTCATATCACAGGATCAAGCTCATTAATAGTTGTATGCACTTTCCAGTCAAACTAATCTATGTTTTCAAACTTCTTTTTCACATCCTTGAAAAAACAGTGGTGCTCTAGGCAGATCACTCTACCTGCTGATAGAATTCTTTGCTTATTTTGGCCCACGTAATTTCTAGTGGGGAGTTTGTGCTGCTTTCTACTTACTTAATTTACATACCTGTGATAAAAACACTTTAAAATTAGGGTACATTAGATGATGATTGATTAAAAGCCTCAATAGTTATTTACGATAGAACTGTTCCATGGCAGCAGAAGCTTGTCTTTAAGATAGGTACCATCAATTTTCTTTTTCCCTCTATACACAAATCCCTATGAAGAGGTGACATCTATTTCTCCTTTCCCCTTACATCTGGGCTGGTCTGAATGACTTATTTGGCTAATAGAATCTGGGAAAGTGATGTCTTGCTACTTCTGAAATTAGGTCATAGAAATCTCTGCAACTTACCCTGGGTATCTTGGGCTGTTTGCTTCTGTAGTTCTTACTCTGAGAGTAGTCAATGCCATATAAGAAGCGTGGCCATGATGTGAGATATTTAACTTACATAAACAGCCCAGATTGATTGAAATGCCATGTTGTGGGTGGGGGGGGGGGAAGACAGAGAGAGAGAATGGAGGCCAAGGATCTGAGAGAGAGAATGGAGGCCAAAGAGCAGAGATGCCAGACATGCGTGTGAAGAGATCGCCTTGAAAGCATATCCTATGGGTCCAGTCTCTGCAGATAATGCCAGTTTGGCAAGAGGTAAACTGTCTACCTAAGCCGTTCCCAAATTTATGACCTTCAAAATCATGAGAAAGCTAAAACAGGTGTTTTAAGTCAATAAACTATGGGGATGGTTATGCAGCATTAGCGACTGGAATAATATCCAAGTTTCAATTTTAGGTTTTAGAACGAAATATTGCTTCCGCATTTCCATGTTCAAAGCTTCCTGCTCTTTTCCCCAAAATCAACTTTGCTGGAAGTTTCCAAGCAGAAAGTCAGTATCAAAAGTTTGGTGCTAGTTTTATAATAAAATAAATTCCTCTCATTTGTACCCCATTTGCATCCCATTTGCAAAGAAAATTTGCAGAGGCCTATATAGAGCCTAAATATTTTTGAGGAAGTAGATCTTAGGTCTATTTCTTTATGATATTAGACAGTTACCTGTGATAAATTAGTGCAGTCTTATACCCTTGTAGAATTATATTCAGGATTATAACTGGAAGGTTCCTAGACACTTACTTTTTTGAGAAGAAGGGTTTTGAAGCTGGCAGGCTGGCATTCAAATCTTAATCCTACCATTAATCTTGGGAAAAATACTTAAATTTTTATGCATCTCAATTTCTTCACCTCTAAAATGAGAATAATAATAATAATAATGCTTTGCAGTGTTTTTTAATTGATGATATACAAAATGATGTATCTAGCAGACACTAGTTATTCAAAAAATGCCAATCTCCCATTTCCATTTTCTTCTTTTGCTCAAGCAATTCATTAAGCTGCCTTCTCTGTCTCATTCCTCTGTTTTCAGTTGAAGTAATATTGTTGTTATTTGTTTGTAGGTATGTTTCAGTCCTTAGTCTATAAACTCAGGGTATGTATTTATTTATCTTTGCATTTCCAAGAATAGCTCATACCCTGGCATGCCAAAGATATTTTAAGATATGTATAGAATAGAAATATAAAGTCTCACCTCTCCTATAAAGCACCCTTTGAGCAGCCTACCTCCTACTGATCCCTATTTTCCCTAAAATTAAAAAAAAAAAACACTACACCATCTGATCTGTTCCATCCTTTAGGCCAACATGAATTAGACACTGCATGTAATTTTGACTTTCATGTCAGTTTACTACATACAGTTTAAGTCTTCTGTTATAAAATCTTCAAATGGTGGTCGTAAGATCTTTCTGTGAGGTGGTCAGGTATGTTATTTTATTGCTCCAAGACTTGCCTCAAACAGTGCCTTGTACGTGTAATATATCTTCAATGGATAAAATAAGGAAGAGTCTCTGTAGGAGAAGAATGAGAGGTCAAGGAGCAAATTAAACTTTCATGGATTAAAATGATCTGGTCTTTCTCCTATAATTTGGAAATTTGGAGTCTTAATATTAGGAAGTATTAGGTGTGTGTTTAGTTTAGAGTGGTTCAATCTCATTTGCTGTAATTTAAAATGGGAACTTTATTGCATTGTGATTGAAACACGGCCTGAGTATTTTAATAGAAAATCAATTCTTGTAAAGCTAGTTGAAAAGTGATTGCTTTTTAATTGGAATTGTTTATAGTCACAGTCCATTCGTTAAAGCTATTTCAGGATTCAAACAAATGAGAACAACTTGAAATCAAGAAACTGCATTAATCACAACAATAGTTAACTCACAATGCTAAATAGACAAGAAAATATTAACTTTCTGGGGGAGGTGAAGGAGTCACTTTTCTTTAGTAAAATCACAATGTAGGATTAAAGTGAGGCCTTATAGAAGGGAAATAATGGATTTCCCAGATGCAAATGTTGATCTATTGACCAAGCAAATTTGCGGTTTAGATTCACTGACTGAAAAAAGCTATTGCCCTCACAAAGCCTTCAGAAAGCCAAGTTCTTTCCATTTACTGTGGAATTTGTTCAATCTGAGGTCCAATCTCTTTGTGTCTAACAATTAGCCCAAACAAGTTTTTACATTTCCTAAGTAATAGTGCACTTAGAATTTCTCAGGGGCATTACTCCATTATTTAGCCAATAACATTGCCAGGAAACCATTACAAATTTTTGTGGAGGTCTTCCATTTGTTAGTTTTTCACAAACCATTTTATTTAGTTAAATAATTCTTTTCCTCCTTGACTTTTCAATCTTCTACTGTACTATATGTCTTACCTTCTTTACAACTGAATACAGCTATAAAACTAAGATTTTTTCCTTGTCTCTCTGCTACTCATTGTATTTCTGTTAGAATTTGTTTTATTTTATTTTGCTACTTAATCCTAAAGAAGTGATCCAGTTTATTTTGCAACAAGAGAGTAGAAAGTATTTATTATCACAGTTCACTATTTTCTACAGTAGGTTTGCTATAGTTGGTCATTCATTTTAATACAAAATACACTCATATACAGAACAAAAATTTAAAAATTTAGCATATAGCAAAATCAATGTATATTTAAGCATAAATGAGCAAAGAATTATAAAATTTGGAAAAGATGCCCTCATTTGAGCTTTGCCTAGCTCCTTGTTACTAGTTTTAAATAGACATACAAATAAATAATAATATATACACTTTACTTCCAATAAGACATATCAAACTAAGATATATTCATAGAAAACAAATCTCACCTAGAATCAAAAGGGTATATATTCTTTTTCCAGTATGTGATGGTACATATTGTATTATTATTTTTTTAAATCAGGGTCTCACTCTGTCACCCAGGCTTGAGTGCAGTGGTATAAACATGGCTCACTGCAGCCTGGAACTCCTGGGCTCAAGAAATCTTCTCACCTCAGCTTCCTGAGCAGCTGGGACTACAGGTGCATGCCACCACATGCAGCTACTATTTTAAATTTTTTGTAGAGATAACATCTAACTGTGTTGCCCCAGCTGGTCTCACTCTCCTATACTCAAGCGATCCTCCCACCTCAGCTTCCCTAAGTGCTGGGATTATAGGCATGAGCCACAATGCCCAAGCTTTATTGTATTTTTTGATGGCTAAGCTGCCATCCATTTTTATTTTTTCCAATAGCCTTTCACCTCTTTCACTGAAGTAAATATGATCTAATATTAAAGTTAAAAATTCTCTGAATCCTGGATGACATTAGAGCATAAAGCAGCTCTCTCTTATTGTGGGAAACATAGACTCCCTGAACAAGTTGTAACAAAGCCAATGTCTACTTTTTAAAGTAATGTTGATGATAATATTGAAAAAAGGCTATCTTTACATAATGCTTTAAAGTTGTGGTAAAGGACAAAATCATCTTGTCATTTGAATATTACTGCACTGTATTGGATTTGTATTATAATATTCATTATTAAGTATGAAAAGTGACACATGGAGGGGGTCAGTAGCTTTGATGAAGACCACATATCCAGCAATAAGCAGAACTGGAATCTGCCTTTGGGATTCTCATCCTTAGCATAAGGTTTTCTCTATTACATCATGTTATTACACTATGTTAAATTAATTTATTAAAACATAAATAAGTATAATAATTTTATATACTGCTTGGTGTATAGACTGATGCACAGACTTATGAAAATATATAGAATCATATTTCTTATTTTGGAAATCTAAATTTTCTCTAAGATATAAAACTTAGATTAAGTTGTATTTCAATACAATACACTTTATCAAGGGATAATTTACTTAAAATAAAATGCATCCCAATTTAGTGTATATTTTGATGAGTTTCGAAGAATGTGTACAGACAGGTAACTACCATCATTACCTCAAGACATGGAACATTTTCGTCACCTGAAAAAGTTCCTTGTGATTCTTCACAGTCAATCCTGTTTCACCCACATTAGCCCCAGTCACAGATCTGCTTTCTGCCTATAAAGATTGGAATTCTTTCCTGAGTTTCATATGAATGACTCAAAAGTAACTACTCTTCTGTGCCTGACTTCTTTTTCAACATAATGTTTTTGAGATCATCCATGTTGTGAAGTTGTATCAACGGTTCATTCCTTTTTATTGCTTCTTAGCATTCAATTGTATGTTATGCTAACATGTTTATCTATTCACATGTTCATGGCTATTTGGACTGTTCCCAGATTTTGGCTATGGGGAATAAAAAAGCTATAAACATTTGTGTACAAGTCTCTGTGTGGGTGTATGTTTTCATTTCTCTTGGGCAAATATCTAGAAATGGAATGGCTAGGTCATATGGTAGATATCTGTTCAAATTTATATAAAACTGCTAAAATGCATTTTTCAAAGGTTGTCATTTTATATTCTTACAGGCAATGTATGTGAGTAACCAGTTATCAATATTGGTATTGTTAGTCTTGCATTTTAGCCATTCTATTGGATTTGTAGTGGTATCCGATTATAATTTTAGTTTTAATTTCCCTGATGACTAATGATGCTGACAATTTTTCCAGGTGCTAATTGGTCATTTGTATATCTTCTTAAATCAAATAAATATTTACATCTTTTTTCTAACTTAAAATTGATTCTTTTTCTTCTTACTATTGAATTTTAAGAGTTCCTTATATAGTCTAGATGAATTTCTTATATTTCTGTGTTAAATATATTCATTTCCAATATTTTCTTCTACTCTATGACTTGCCTTATTTGTTTATGGGTATGTTTTAAAGAGCAGCAGTTTTTCATTTTGATATATTCTAAATGTGAATATTTTTGTTATTCATACTTTTTTATGTTCTATATAAAATATTTTTGCTAACCAACCTAAAATCATAAAAATATTTGATCTTCTGAAAGTTTAATACTTGTATCTCTTAATTTTAGGTCTATAATCTATTTTGATTTGTTTGTTGTATGATGTGAATTAAGAACAAAGTTTTATTTTTCTCCATAAAAATATGCTATTGTTCCAGTCATAGTATTTCAACAGTATAATTTTCTCATTAAATTGACTTGGCAACATTGTGAAAGATAAATTAATATCTATCTGTCTTATCTATGTACCTAGCTAACTAGACTTTTGATTCTATTCTAATGATTTATATGTCTGTCTTCATAACAACAACAAATTGGCCTGATTATGTCTGTATTGATATTATATCCTGAAACCACGCAGTGTAAGTCCTCTAACATTTTCTTTAAAAATTAAAATTACTTATTTATTTGTTATCTATTAGTGTATATTTTAAAATAAGCTTGTCAATTTCAACAAGTAATCCTGTTGATTGAGATTGCATAGAGATTTCTCTCAGCAATATTCTTTGTTTGCTTTGCACATATTTTTTAAAGTTTATCACTAGTCATTTCATGTTTTTGGTACTATTATGACTGATATTTTTTACAATTCGATTTCTGTTCATTGTTAGTATATAGAGATATAACTGATTTTTGTGTGGAGACCCGATACTTTGCAGCATTTGCTAGCCTACTCACAAAAGCTAGTAGCTTTGTCTTGATTCCTCAATGTATATGCACATACACATTTCTGCATATGTCATATGTAAATGACAGATTTAATTCTTCCATTCTAATGTTCATATGTTTTATGTTTTGACTTATTGAATGAATTTATAATAAGAGTGGAAATCATTTCCTTATTACTGATATTAAAGGAAGAACACTAAATCTTTTACTATTAAGTGTGATTTTAGCTGAGAGTTTTTCAACTTGACTTTTATCAAGTTGAATGGGTATTACATGCTCTCAAAGCCCTTACTGCATCTTTTGTGATAATCATAGCTTTTTAAAAAGTATATTAATGTAGTAAATTATATAGGTTGACAGTCAAACCAACCTTGCATTTCTGCTATAAAACTAACTGGGCTATGATATATCACATTGAGGCAGGAGAATAGGACCTGGAGGCAGGGAACTTAAGACCAATCCATGCTGACTTTCTAGAACTAAATCAAATGAAAGCACTTCGGCAATGACAGGACTGTGAATGGCTTTGTAACTGCACTTCCTCCTCTCCATTCATGCTATTTACACTTGGTAACTTCACATTCATCCTTTCCATTTACCTAGATCACACACACCAAATAATATCCTCTCCATTTACAACAGGGCACAACCCAAGTAAATGACTCTGTGACTTCACCTCATTCTCTTCATTTACATAGAATATATGCCAAGTAACCAATGGGAAACCTCTAGAGTATTGAAATTCCAGAAAATCCTGTAAACAGGGCTCTTGAGCCCCTATGCTCAGGCTCCCACATTGTGGAGCGTACTTTCATTTTCAATAAATCCCAGCTTTTGCTTTCCTCGCTTTGTTTGTGAGTTTTGTTCAATTCCTTGTTCAAGACGCCAAGAACCTGGACACCTACTGCTAACAACATTTGCTAATATTTTGTTAAGAACTTTGTATCTATCTTTATGAAGATATTATGTCCCAGTTTTATTTCCTTGAAGTTTCTTTTTTGACTTTTGTTATCAGGATAATGTTGACCTCTGTTTTCTGAAAAAAAAAATGTGTAAGAATAGTATTTATTTGTTAAACAATTTATAGAATATAACTATGAATGTATGTGGGACTGTGTGTTCTTTGAGGTAAAGTTTACAAACTACTAATTCAATTGCTTATATATTTATAGGGCTAGCTATATTCAGAGATGTTTATTTGAGTTTGTATTTGAAATATGCACTTATACTGAATATAGATTTTAGGTTGCAATAATATTTTCTACACCTTCTAAGAGGTTATTCCACTAACTTTTTGGTTGTATATTTTCCATAGGCAACACGCATACTTTTTTTTTGCCATGTTAAAGTTTTATTAAGTTTCAATACATAACATTCCAAAAAGTGAAAAGTGATCTATAATACCCAAGTTCTATGTTCAACTACCAGTTAAACAAGGAAAACATTTTCTATATCATTCTGTTTTACAACCAGTATAAACCCAGAAGAATCAAGATCTAATTCTTTTTCCACAAGTCTGCTAGGTCAGTAAACTATTTATCAAACAGGTGTCTGGTCATTTTAACATACTCCTTGCTTTGAACTTAATATTCATTCACAATTTGTACAATCTCTATATCCTATGCTATCTTTAGGATATCTAAATATCTTAAATATCTAGTATATCTCAAGAGCCAAAAAGGTCCTCACAGAAGCTTTAACCCAAGTAATCATAAGAGTATGGAAGGATTGGGCTAAGACAACTATGGAAGTGCAACAACCACATAAATTTGGTCATTACCTATTACAGGTCTGTGATTAGTAGTAGTCTGTCAAACGAGAGTTTAAAATGTTGTACTTACTATCCCTAGTTGCAAATGGTAAAACATGACAGTGCCATAATTATGACAAAAAAAAAATCTTAGAAGTTGAGTTAGTTCCTGTAATCCAACAACTCAAGTCTATTTCCTTTGAGAAAATTATACTATTGGCTCTAGTCTCTAAAGCAATAAACTAAAACTTATTTCCAAGATTGGGAGGTAAAGTGAGCTTGTAAAACAATCAGCAAAAGTGGACTACTTGTTTCCAGTGTGCTTGCCATCTTAGCATGTTTGTTACTTTCTATGTTTAATACACACTTAAATGGTCTTATTCAGGGAGGGGAAAGGGGAGGTTCTTGTGGATTCCCAGGGAAATGTCAGAAAAGCAAAATGGCCAGCATTATCCATTTGCTTTTTTGGATTTACTGCGTGAATAGCACTTTCCTTACATAGACATCTGATTTCAGGTTTTTTATGCTGAGAACATTGAGATTTCAGTTGGAAGACACCCTGAAATCTTCTGAGTAGCAAACCCCAACCACTCTCTAAGTTTTATTCTACAACTAAACTCTGTTTCTGGATAAGCCACCACCAAAAAATGTTTCACTTACTGACAGACATAGACATTTCACTAGACAGAGCTACCACTTATTCATCATTTTTATGATTCAACTTAAGTTCTAAATTGAAGAGTTGTCCCTTGACTTTATCTAAACAAAATGAAAACCAAAGCTATAAAATCTATGTAAAGGAACACAAGAACTTCCTGACTACCTCCACTTACCAATTTCCTTAATTACTTCTCCTTTTCCATTTGGTCAATTATTGTTTTAAGTAACTACTACTCACTCCCTAGTTATGAATGTTAATCAACACTGATGCCATCCTCAGGTCCACAGGAACCCTTGAAGGCAAAATCTATTGATTGCACCAAACCAGTTCTGACAGCACTTCTTATGTAACTGTAGTGACTTATCGACAATCAGCCACCTTCTGCTTCAAAAACTCTTAGCATTTGATTTATCTGACTGCCAGCTTTATCTACTGTGAATAAATCAGCACTCCACGACCATAATGAGCATAATCCTCAACCATCTTTGCTGTTTCACAGGCATTTGATGCTTTAAATCTGATGTGGAATGCTGATAGATTAACTTTTTAGAAGTCATAAGCCTTTAGGAAGTTGGAGATAACTTTATTGCTTATCTATTTTCTCCGTTGCAATCAAGCTGTTCCTTTAAAAGTGAGACATTACAGAGTTGCAAAAATTTGAAACAGTAAGAGCAGACACCTTTGCAGCTTCATGGTTGGTTTTGGCCAAACTTTTTTTTAGTATTCTGTGGCTGTTTGACACACACTTAAATGGTCTTATTCGGGGAGGAGAAAGGGGAGGTTCTTGGGGATTCCCAAGGAAATGTCAGAAAAGCAAAATGGCCAGCATTATCCATTTGCTTTTTTGGATCTACTGCGTGAATAGCACTTGCCTTGCATAGGCCTCTGATTTCAGGTTTTTCATGCTGTGAACATTGAGATTTCAGCTGGAAGACACCCTGAAATCTTCTGAGTAGCAAACCCCAACCACCCTCTAATAGCTAGCTTGTTTGTATAGGCAGAATGATTCATCTCTCCATTTTACATGGCTAGACGTTTTGTGGAAGATCTTAGAATTGCTTGCCTCATTTACTGGGAAAAATCAGATAGGAGTGGCCTCTAGGAACACTTTTGCTTGGAAAGTTACAACACTAGTACAACAAGTCTTAACACATTTAACATTTGCTTGTTAAAAAGCAATGTCATAAAGTCAGATAAAATTAAACATGTTTTACTTTTTTCCTCACAAGAACATAAAAATTATGGAGGGGAACATAACAGGGAATTTAAAAAAGGTAACACAATTTTTCCTTTTAGTAGTCCTTCGGTAGCTATGACAGAATAGTTTCACTTTTCGTTTGTTTCTTTGAACTGGGGTTTTGGTCCAAAGTTTTGTTTGCTTCTAGTATCTGCTTCTGCCTCCCCCTCTATCAGATCGGCTTCCTCCACGGCCACCACCTCTTGGTGCTCTGCAGCTTGAACTGCTGTAGGAATCACATGGAGAAGGGTACCCCCTTTCTGTAGAAGGGGCAAGCCCTCTTTCTCGTCTGCCAAGCCGATCAAGACCACTTGAATAGAGATCACTTCGGCTGCTTGAGTAACTGTCTCGACTTCTACCATATCCGTCACGTGAGCTGCTGTAATCATGATAGCGACTGCTTCCAGCATAAAATGGTGGGGGCCCTTGTGTAGGTGGAGCACTATGTGAGTTATCATAACTCTCATATGAATCTCTGTAGGAACTTCCACTTGGATGATCTGAATAGTCATGATCATGATCATATCCATCTCTATCGCTATAGCCTCTTGATGGATAGTCATCACATGAACTGGAATGACTGTAATCACGGTAAGTATAATCTCGTGGTGGTGGTGCATAATCTCTTGTATTACAAGAACTTGGGTAATCTCTGCTTGAAGAGCTGTCTTTAGTAGACTACACATCATCTCTTGGGGACAAATAAACATCTCTACGAGAGGGCGGCAGTTCCCTTCGAGGTGGACCTCCCTAACTATCTTTTCCACGTGATAAAGGAGCTCTTCCTTCCATTCACTGCTGCTGTGAACTGGTGCAGATCTCTTAGGAGGTGCAGATCTCTTAGGAGAATGACCCCCACTTCTTGGTCGTGGTCCTCTTTTTACTAGGAGTGGTTCCCTGGAAGAACTCATGTTAAAATGCATGGAATATCCACCATCATCCATGTGTCCTCCCCATGAGGGAGGTTCCCTGGTTCCTCCACTTCCTCCTCTTCCACCTCTCAGACTTCTTGAAGGACCTCTAGTTCTTGGAGGTGGAGGCAGTCCACGTCTACCACTTTCAAATAATTGTTTGGTGGCTTATTCCACTTTGATGGCTTTTCCATTTAATGACTTTCCATTCATGTCTCTGGCTGCATCCTTAGTGTCTGCTGGGCTTTCAAAGGTGACAAAAGCAAATCCTCTTGATTTGTTGGTTTCACAGTCTTTCATCAAGAGTACTTCCACTATTCACTATTCGTCCATATTTGCCAAATGGTGCTTCAAGAGCTTTCTCATTAGTTTCCATATTAAGCCCACCAATGAAGAACTTTTCTGGGCAATCTGCTTCAACCATTTTTTTTAAATTTATTTTTATTTATTTATTTATTTTTTTGCTGGTGAGTCAGAGGGGTGACAATGGGTTCAAGCTCCAACGAGCTCACCGACAGGGGCTTCCTACCAGCTCAGCACCAGTGGCGGCTGCCAGGTCTGAGGACCAAATTGCGAAGCCACTAGCACTACTGCACAACCAATATGCATACATTTTAATCCTTGTTTTTCTTATATAATTTGTCTTTTTTCTCTGGATACTGTTAATATTTTCTCTATCATAGGTTTTTAGCAATTTTATTTTGATGTGCTTTGTTTTATTTTTATAGGCATTTTAAAATCTTTCTAGGTGTTGAGTTAGCATTGTAACTTTATTTAAATTTGGGAATATAGTAACCTCTATTTCTTCAATTTTTTTTTTTTTTATTTCTCTGTCCTTACCCTGTTTGGAATTCCTATTCCATGTCTGCACATAAATTTATTTTGTTCCATGGGTTACTGAAACAAATTATTTCATTCTCTTTATTTTTCAATTTTAATAGATTCCTTGCTAAATTTGAATATTTACTGATATTTTCTTGTGTAATGTCTTATGTGTTGTTAATCCTATCTAGTTAAAGTTTCATTTAGACATTAGTTTTCAACTCTAGAAGTTCTATCTAGTTGTTTGTTTTTTAAATTTCTATTTACCCTTTTATTTTGTTCATGTTATTCTTTACATATGTTTACATATTTATAATAACTGCTTAATGTATTTGCTAGTTCCATTATCTATGTCATTTATAGTTGTATTTGATTATTTTTCTCCTGCTTTGGATTACATTTTTTTTACTTAGCAGTCATTTTTTATTTTATGCTAAACATTACAGATTTGATGTTGGTATGGCTGGATTCTTGTTTTCTTCCTTTAAAAATTGTTAGGCTTTGTTTTGACAGGAAGTTGGTTACTTATAGATGAGTGTCATCCCTTTGAGTCATTTTTTAAAGCTTTTCTGGGAGCAGTCTAGAGTTGCCTTTATTCCACTGATAATTTGTCCAAATTACTAAGATACTGTCGCCTCTGATGAAAAGTTACTCTCTTAAATATGCTAAATAATCAAGAACTCTTCACTCTGGCTAGGTGGAGTTCAATATATGTTGTTAGAGCTTGCCTTGTGTGAGCTCTGGAAATTTTTTCTTATAGATACTTGGTTGCTTTTTTTGCCTGGCCTCATGGAGTTTTACTCCACACTTGCATATCTGAGTATTCAACAATGATATAAAAGGGCACTGTAGTTAGATTTCTGAAGCTCTTGTCTGCATAGCTCTCTCTCTTCTTAAATTTCCATAGGTTTTTGGGAAACAGGTGGTGTTTGGTTACATGAGTAAGTTCTTTAGTGGTGATTTGTGAGATTTTGGTGTACCCATCATCAGAGCAGTATACACTGTATCGATTTGTACTCTTTTATCCCTTACCTCAACTCCCAATCTTTCCCCCAGTTCCCAAAGTCCCTTTTATCATTCTTATGACTTTGCATCCTCATAGCTTAGCTACCCCTTATAAGTGAGAACATACTATGTTCAGTTTTACATTCCTGAGTTACTTAACATAAAATAATGGTCTCCAATTCTATCCAGGTTGCTGCGAAAGCCAGAATGCCAATATTTTGTTCCTTTTTATGGCCACATAATATTCCATGGTGTGTGTGTGTGTATATATATATATATATATATATATATATATATATATATATATATATTATATATATCACATGGGATATATATATATCACAATTTCTTTATCCACTCATTAACTGATAGGCATCTGGGCTGGTTCCATATTTTTGCAATTGCAAATTGTGCTGCTATAAACATGTGTGTGCAAGTATCTTTTTTTGTATAATGACTTCTTTCCCTCTGGGTTGATATCCAGTAGGGGGATTGCTGAATCAAACTGTTGTTCTACTTTTAGTTCTTTAAGGAATCTCCATACCGTTTTCCACAGTGGTTATATTAGTTTACATTCCCACAAGCAGTGTTAAAGCATTTCCTTTTCACTACATTCCCACCAACATCTATTATTTTTTTATTTTTTGATTATGGCCATTCTTGCAGGGGTAAGTTGGTATTGCATTGTAGTTTCAATTTGCACTTCCCTGATCCTTAGTGATGCTGAGCATTTTTTCATATGTTTGTTGGTCATTTGTATATCTTCCTTTGAGAATTGTCTATTCATGTCCTTAGCCCAATGTTTGAAGTGATTGTTTTTTCTTGCTGATTTGTTTGAGTTTCTTGTAGAGTCTGGATATTAGTCCTTTGTCAGACGTATAGATTGTGAAGATTTTCTCCCACTCTGTGGGTTGTCTGTTTACTCTGCTGATTGTTTCTTTTGCTGTGCAGAAACTTTTTAGTTCAATTAAGCCCCACCTGTTTATCATTGTTTTTGTTGCATTTGCTTTGGGGTTGTTGGTCATGGAGTTTTTGCCTAAGCCAATGTCTAGAAGGGTTTTTCCAATGTTATCTTCTAGAATTTTTATGGTTCCAGGTTTTAGATGTAAGTCCTTGATCCACCTTGATTTTTGCACAAGGTGAGCAATGAGGATTCAGTTTTATTCTTCTACATGTGGCTTGCCTATTATCCCAGCACCATTTGTTGAATAGGGGGTCCTGTGAAGGAAAACCAATCATATTAACAGCAGATTTCTCAGCAGAAAACCTACAAACTAGAAGGGGTTGATGCCCTATATTTAGCCTCCTTAAACAAAACAATTATCAGCCAAGAATTTTGCATCCAGTGAAACTAAGCATCATAAAGGAAGGAAAGTTACAGTCTTTTTCAGACAAACAAATGCTAAGGGAATATGCCACTACCAAGCCAGCACTACAAGAACTGCTAAAAGGACCTCTAAGCCTTGAACTAAATCCTTGAAATACATCAAAACAGAACTTTTTTAAAGCATAAATCTCACAGGACCTATAATGCAACAATATGCACACACAACAATTACAACAACAACACAACAACAAAAAAACTCAAACAACCAAGATATGCAAACAACAAATAGCAGGATGAATAGAATAGTACCTCACATCTCAATACTAAATGAATGTAAATGGCCTAAATGCTCTACTTAAAAGATACAGAATGGCAGATTGGATAAGAATTCACCAACCAAGTATCTGCTGCCTTCAACAGACTCACCTAACACACAAGGACTCACATAAATTTAAGGTAAAGGGGTGGAAAAAGACATTTTATGCAAATGGACACCAAAAGCAAGTAGGAGTAGCTATTCTTATATCAAACAAAACAAACTTTAAAGCAACAGTAATTAAAAAAGACAAAGAGGGACATTACATAATAATAAAAGGTCTTGTCCAACAGGAAAGTATCACAATCTTAAATATATATGCACCTAACACTGGGGCTCCTAAATTTATAAAACAATTACTACTAGACCTAAGAAATGATATAGTGCCCTCTCTTTTCAAGATCTCTGCCCCTACAATTTCCAGCTGCCTCAACCTTCCCTTTTCCCCATTTACATTCTTCACCTCCATGAGGTTGCTTGGGGGCTTTGGATTTACCTCTCTGTGCATGTGCTTTTGAAATTTTGTCTAGGAAGCAAACCAGAACAGTTACAAGATTAGTCTCAACTGCTTCACTTCTCTGAAAAATCAAAGTCCTGAGGGATGTCTTTTAAAAGTCAATGTCTGAAAGACATCTGTTTTATTTTTGTTTTGTTTTGTTTCCCAGCAGGATGGTAAATCTAATCCTTCTTATAACATCATGGCAAGAATGTGAAGTTTCAGATTGCTTTTAAATCCCAGTCTAAAGCCATGTTAAGTACTATAATTTATGGATTTTTAAAAAACCTTCTGGACAATCATATCTATGTCAATGAGTTTACTTAATTGTTAACCCCTTTTCTGGAAAAAAAATGTCATAAACAGCAGAATGGGAGAGACCAGAAAATGATTTAAATAACCCAGATGTGCATAATTCAAAAATGGCCTTGAAATACAAGAAAAAAATTGAAAATTTTCAATGTAATGCATTTTCACAACTACTTAAGAAAACTTTTTCAATATATAAAAATAAAAAGAAAATAGATTTTAGAACATTTTCAAAGAGTATCCTGAAGTACAGTCAAGAGCAGTTTAAAGGGATCCTTGTTCTCTGTTTGTAAATGTTCACAGGCCCAAAAGAAGGGAAACAGAAAATCTAAATTGGAAAGAGAAATTACCAACTTACAAAACCTCCAAAAGTGGCTGTATAATTCAAAGAGATTTAGAAGAATATAAACCAACTATAAATGATAATGTATGGCTCTCCAGGTGAAATAAAATTGTCTGATTGTACAAGAAGTAAAGGAATATATAGAAAAAGTGAATGTTGAGACTTAAAATAAATAGTAAATCCTTGAGGTAAACTGAACTTTATTTGCCTTGGTTAACAGAAAACACTCCAAGTCTTGAAAATTTATAACAATCCTTAGTCTCTTTCAGTGTCTTTCCTATAATTATTAATTTGTCAATATTATCAGAGGAAATTTCTTTATTCTCTGTGTTAGAAACCGTGTAACTTTTATGCATATACTTTGGACACTGAGGTTCCAGATGAAACAAACTGTGAAAGAATTATTTTTAGAAGATCCCTAAATATTAACAAATGAGCAGATTATAACCAATCTAGACATCCCATAGTACCCAGACCATGGATGAGTTATGAGTCTAGAATTATTTTCAAATAATCCCAATGTGCAAAAACTCCACAATAATAATTGGAGAACAGAACAATTGGAGAAAACTCATATGAATGTAGATTTATTTTCTAGAATATCAAAAAGTTTTGTTTTTATGTATATGCAAAAATTAGGACACATTGTAGGTATGTAAGATCAGCAACATGGCACACATAAAAATTCAGAAGGATTCTTCCCAAAATTTCATAAATGTTTTTTAAATGTATATGAAAGTATTAGATTATGCTCTAGAGGTATAAACTCAGCAATGTGACACACCCATTGCCTATTACATCTTACCATTTGGATCAGTAGTCAGGGATTATCCTCCTTGCCTCAGAATAATTTTACTCTTGGGTAAATTAATCAGAGTTATCTTTCCATAATCTAGCCATCTCACCTGTAGTGTAATATGTATTTGTTAGAACAGGCAGATAGTTAGACTGAGCAAGAAGGGGAGTCCCTACAAAAGTAAGCTTTGGAAAATCTCATAGCCCAGAGACCACCCAAAACATGCATGCTAGGTATGAGCAGAGAGAAGGGAAATTACCAATGTAAGAAGGAACTCTCCAAAATGCCTCTTAAGATGCCCAGTAATCACTCATTCTATGATTGAACTGTGAGAATGTAGTCAGCTACATGCTGATAAGGAGGGGAAAAGGGCAAAGGGGAAATTCCTAAGAGAAACAAAGGCACTATAACCACAGATTTAACTGCTGTTTATACGACCTTCCTGGGATGTTGGTAATGAACCACACTGCCATTAGGTAAGATTTGTATTGATCCCTGGGCCTGCACATGTGCATCAACTGACAGTAAGGGAGAATCCTACAAACCTGGGGTGGGAACTAGGTGGGGGAAAAGGCAGGGACTTAAGGCAGAAATGGGAAACCAGACACAGACAAAGGCAGAGACTTAATACAGAGGTGCAAACTTAAAGAAAGAGTGTGACATAATAAAAACCACAACATAGAACTCTCAAGGTTGCTGGTCCATTCTCTTCCAAGCAGCCTATTCTGCCTCTTTAAATAATCTCTGCTGACACTTAACCCTTGCTGCTACTGTCGCTGCTCCCAGCCTAGTCAGCTCACTCCTCTCTTGGAGTCTACTTCCTTCAATAAACTCTCTGGTCTTTATTTCTTCAATAAATTCTCTGCTTTCTTTGTTTAACAAGCAAAGTCTCCCAAGAAGACTAAGAACTGAGGACACCACACTTTCCAGTAACTTACTGAAATATATCAACTTTCTCTTTTGTTGTGTTACAATATCCTTGTTGGTGAAGAAAACTTGAGGGTTGTAATTCTGTAGTTTGAGAAGTACTCATGTCCAAAATAAATATTTGGGGTAATCCAGTACCAAATTTTCATTTCATTTTTTTTTAGTTTTATATTTCAATATTAATGATTAAAGTCCTCATGCAAGAACCTCTCATTGAACAGAATGACAAAATCCATGAAGAATATCAAGAATTCTGTCACAGGTGCGCAAAATTTGCTTGCCAATTCCACAAACAACAGATAGGAATAGTCAGGTTGCAAGGTCTGTGAGGGCATGATCTAAGAAAGCCACCATGGCTGTCTGACATCATGATCATGGCTATCATGACATCAGATAATCTCAAATAAACATTTGGTAAAATATTCTATGAGACAATCATCACAGTAGTGATAAATTGGCCTTCATTTCAAACAGCAAAGCAGAAATGTTCTTAGGAGGTATTTTATACTATTGTTCCTCTGTATGGGCTTTTAGCATATGCTAAAGGGAAAACCCAAAAGGATTAAACTGTTGTCAACAAATCAATAATATTCCAGAAAAAAGCTCAAGAGTATTTGTAAAATGCAGAAAAAAAAGAAAAATAAATAATCAAGAACCCAACAAAGTTGAATTTTCAGTTCTATATGTGATGCAAAATCCCAAGGCATGCAAAGGAAGCAGAAAAATGTGACCTATAATGAGGCACAAAATCACCCCTTTCTGCAAATGCTTATTTTCATCTGGATTATTTTCCATCTACCTGTGGGAATTCCTTTAACATTTCTTGCAGTTTGTATCTGCTTATTGCCTTTAAATTTTGTTAGGCAGGACCACAGCAGAATTTGACCTATGGCTAATTTTGCTCCACAATTGAGGCACAAATTTTTAACGTACTCTACCCAATACCCTGTGAATTATTAGGATTTGTACTCTAGTTAGTGGAAATGACGATTTACTTTTCCAGCCCTGTGTAAGTACAAAGGATTGTTACCTCTGTCTTTTCACGCATTTCTTTCTCTGGTCTCAAATTGTTTTCCCGTGTTCCTGTGCTGATTAGTATTCGGCTCATGACTCGGGGAGAACTCTTCCAGATCTCTAGAGGTCTCTGTCTGGGCAGCTCTCTTCTTTCTGGTACTCTGCATTGCAAACTCTATCAACTTTGTCTTCCCTACGTTCCCTACTATGTCTCTTCAAGACATAGGCTCTATCTGGTTTTCCTCTTTCGTTGCCACCTGGAAACCTCTTCAGAAAGTATACTGGGACAATCAGAGAGCTCACATTGTTTATTTACTATCTCTGTTGTTGCTGTCATTGTCTAATATCCAATGTCTTCAAAACCTTTGTTTCATTTATTTTGTGCATTTTAAAAATGTTTTGGGCAGGAGGATATATCTAATCCTACTTATTCTATCTTGTTTAGAAGAAGTCTTGAAAGTAGGCTTTTTGATTTGCATACATTTTAATATGTTTAATTTTTGTTGATGAACAAGGAGACATTCTTTTATATTTATTTTTTTTTTTGAGACGGAATTTTGCTCTTGTTGCCCATGTTGGAGTGCAGTGGTGCGATCCCGGCTTGCTGCAACCTCCACCTTCCAGTTTCAAGTGATTCACTAGAAGAAATTCTTAGTGAAACATAAACTTCCCATTAGTATTATTTCTCTCTCTGATACTCATTTACTAACATAAATCCCACTGGCTATGAGCCAATTAGACAGCAGATGGTTCAGTTTAAATCAATTAAATTGAATGACTTGTACCATAATAACTGGGACTATCAAAGTGCACGTCCAAAAAACACTGTTCTTTTAACAATAATCCTTATGCTTTTGACAGTCCTTGGGGAAGCTCAGCTGAGGTTCACCTTCAACATTTATCAACATTATTAATCTTATAATTTTTATTTATAAATGAAGCGGCTAGATGAGTAAAAATATTGTTATTCAGTATTAATCTTATCAAATGTTTATTATCAGTATTTTATGATTTTTATTTAATTTTTATTTTTTGACCGGTTTTATAATTATGGGATACAAAGTGATGTTATCATGTATATACAGAGTATGGAGTGATTAAATCAAGCTAATTAACATATCCATCACTTTAAATACTTAACATTTATTCTTCCTGTCTCATTGCAGCTTCATACCCTTTGACTATTTCCCCAAACCCCCACTCTGATAACCAGCATTCAGTTTTTGCTTCTATGAGTTTGATTGTTTTAGATTCTACATGTAATTGAGAACTTGTGATATTTGCTTTTCTGTGCCAAGCTTATTTAACTTAGTATACTGTCCTTCAGTATACTAAGTATACTTGTCCTATTTTGAAAGGACAAGATTTCCTTCTTTCTAAAGGCTGACTGGAATTACATTATGTAGATATGCCACATTTTCTTTATCCGTTCATTTGTTAATGGATGCTTAGACTGATACCATAGCTTGGCTATTGTGAATAGTGCTACGATAAACATGCAAGTGCAACTATCTCCTCAATATGTTGATTTCCATTCTTTTGGATATATACTCAGCAATGGGATTGCTGGATCATATGGTAGGTCTATGTTTTAGTCTTTTGAGGAACCTCCACCTTGTTTGCCTTAGTGACTGTGCTAATTTACATTCCCACCAACAGTGAACAGGGTTTCCTTTTCTCCATATCCTTGCCAACATTTGTTTTTATATTTTGTCTTTTTGAAAACAGATGTTCTAACATACACCTGGGCCTGTTGAGGGATTGGGGGTGAGGGGAGGAAACCTAGATGACGGGTCAATACGCACAGCAAACCACCATGGCACACATACACCTATGTGACAAACATGTACATTCTGCAGTGTATCCCGGAACTTAAAGCAAAATAACAAAAATTTAAAAAAAGAGAAAGAAAATAGCTGTTCTGACAGGTGTAGGTGGTATCTATGGTTTTTTTTGTTGTTTTTTTTTTGAGATGGAGTCTTGCTCTGTCACCCAGGCTGGAGTGCAGTGGCGTGATCTCGGCTCACTGCAAGCTCTGTCTCCCGAGTTCAAGCAATTTGCATTTCCCTAATGATTAGTGATGATACATATTTTCATTTGACTGTTAGCTATTTGCATAGCTTCTTTTGAGACATGTCTATTCAGTATTCAGGTTCTTTGCCCAGGTCTTTTCATTTATTTATTTATTTATTTATTTATTTATTTATTTATTTATTTATTTATTTTGCTGTTGAGAATTTTGGGTTTCTTGTTTATTTAGGATATTTCCATTTTATTAGACATATTGATTACAAATATTTTCTCTCATTCTGTAGATTGTAGATTCACTGTGCTCTTATCTGTATGCAGAAGAATGGAATTGGACCCTTGCCACACACTTGTGAAAGGAAAATAAATCTTGGGGTCCCAAAATCACTAAGCTAAAGTGAAAAGTCAAGCTGAGAACTGCTTAGGGCAAACCTGCCTCCCATTCTATTCAAAGTCACCCCTCTGCTCTCTGAGATAAATGCACATCTGATTGGCTCCTTTGGAGAGGCTAATCAGAAACTCAAAAGAATGCAACCATTTGTCACTTTTCTACCTATGACCTGGAAGCCCCCTCCCTACTTCTAGTTGTCCCGCCTTTGCTTTGAGTTGTCCCACCTTTCCAGACCGAACCAATGTTCAGCTTTCATATGTTGATTGATGGCTTATGTCTCCCTAAAATGTATAAAATCAAACTGTGCTCTGACCACCTTGGGCACATGTTGTCACTATCTCCTGAGGCTGTGTCACGGGTGCACATCCTCAACCTTGGCAAAATAAACTTTCTAAATCAACTGAGATCTGTTTCAGATATTCGGGGTTCGCACACCATATGCAAATATCAACTAAAAATGAATTAAAGACTCAAATCTAAGACCTGAAACTGTAAAACTACTGGAAGAAAACAAAGGGTGAAAATTCCACAGCATTGGTCTGGGCAATGATTTGTTGTGTAGGACCCCAAAGCATAGGCAACAAAAGTAAATGGACAAATGGGGCTGCATCAAGCTAAAAATCTTTGACATGGCAAAGGAAACTATCACTAGCATTTTCAAAGTGATGGGAAAAAACACATTTTTTTCTACAAGCAAACCTTACTATTTGAATTAATTATAATTTAATTTTTTCCTATGTTTATTCTTGAAAATGTACCAAAAAACAATGACTTAGACATTCCTTAAATATCTAAGCAATAAAAAAAATGAATAACTCATGAAACAGCAGATTTTTATACGCTGTTTCCTCTATAAGATAGCAAACCCCTAAAGGTTAGGATGTATGCTTTAATTCCTTATCTTCCCTCCACACTACCCTAGCAAGATACTCTTTTACTATATATATCTAATACCATTATTATTTTTCAGTTGATTAACAATTAAATTAATCCACTTCAGTAGGTATACTAGGTTCAAATAAAAAATTCACGGACAACTAGTCACTAAGAAAGGCTTCTATTTAATTTTCTGTAAAGTGAATTTCTGTTAAGTGTAAATTTCTATAAAATAAAGACAATGCTACTAGCACTAATAACATTGTTGTAGGTATCACCTGAGTTATGTTTAAAACTTTTAGAAGAGTATCTGAAATAAAATAAGTACTTAATAAATTATAGCTATGTTTTAATTATTCAATTATTAATAATAGAATAATTAAACAGTACATAAAATTGTTATCCATCTCATACAAAATGGCACAATTCTCAGATACATTTCAATGTATGAAATGAACCTATTAGTCTAATTTTTTCAGCATAGTAAATTTCCAAAAAAATTTTGAATCTTTTTTCCTATCTCAGCAGTATAAACTAATTACAAAATTGAATGTATGTTTTTCAGAAGAAATATTGACCATCATATAAAACGTCATATTTAAGAGATTAGTAAAATGCCGAAGTCCTACTGTTAGAAGCAATCGATAATTCAGTATTAAAATAATTAATAAAATATGGATAAAACAATAAAGTTTGTATTGATGTAGAACATATTGAAAGTCAGAAATAAAAGTCACTACCTAATGAGGAGAAAATCAGATTTAATCTTCTTTTAGCAATTATACATTATTTATGTTGAGGCTACAAAGATAAATGACAAGTGTTGTCTTCAGGGAGTTTCCAGGCTTGTATCAGGGATGGTTAACAGAAGCAGGTGGTTTCAGCATAATGTTAAGTAAGTGCTATGATAGCATAATCTCTCAGAGAAAACACCAAGCCTGTCCTAGAATTTGAAGAAATTTTGAAAGAGAGGATACCTGGGCTGATCTGAAAGGATGAAGAGGAGTTAGGTTAAACAAAGAAATGCAGTAAAAAGGATGGAGAGAGGAAAAGAAGCATGAATCAATATGTTGTTTCTACAGCAGAAATTGTGTGGCAAGGAACAGTAAAGGGTGAACCTGGCAAGGCAGACAGGATCCATGGCACCTGGTGTCTCATGCATGTGCAAAGGAGCTGACCTTTATTTTATAGCAGTAAGGAACCACTTCTATTTGTTTTTGAGATTTTTTTTCCCCAGGACTTTGTGAAAAATATCTTGGCCTGGAAAATTATAGAAGAGATATAAAGGATAAAAGACAGTCATTACTTCAAAATGCAACCTTTATATCATAGAAATATAGTTCATAAAACTAGAGCAGATATTTGAGATCACTTAATTCTACTGCTTCAATTTACAACTAAGAAAATTGGTCCAAAGGCAATCAGTGCCTTATCAAAGGCACAGAGTTGTATTACAGTTAAGGTCTGAATATATACAAGCATGCTCACATGTGCCCTACATACACTTATGCACACATTCAACTAAAAAGCCATTATAAAGGGGTAGTGGTATGTTAAAATGTGTCTAAGAGAGACTAAAAATGTATTTATTTACTTTTATTTTTAATTTTAATTTAAATTTTTTTTTGTAAACTGGTAGGGAAAGGGTGCCTCGCCCCAGGTACTGCTGCAGAGATATGCCTTTATTTTTTAATTTTTTAAAAATAGAATTTCAACTTTAATTTTAGATTCATGGGGTACATATGCGGGTTTGCTACATGGGTATATTATGTGACACTGAGGTTTAGGGTATGATTGATCCTGTCACCCTGGTAGTGAGTGTAATACTCAATAGTGTTTCAACCCTTGCCCCTATCTTACCCTCCAACCTCTAGTATTCCCCAGTGTCTACTTTTTCCATCTTTGTGTCCATGTGTACCCATTGTTTACTTCCCACTTATAAGTGAGAACATGTGGTATTTGATTTTCTGTTTCTGCATTAATTTGCTTAAGATAATGGCCTCCAGCTGCATCCATGCCACTGTAAAGAGCATGATTTCATCCTTTTTATGGCTGTGTAGTATTCCATGGTTTATATGTACCCACATTTTCTTTATCCATTCTACCATTGATGGGCACCTATGCTGATTCCATGTCTTTCCTATTATAAATAGTGCTGCAATGTACATACAAATGCAAATATTAATCAAGAACAAAGTATGTGTCAATGTTCTAATCAATATTTTCAGTTATAATCAACTATGCTTTTCAGAAAATTAAGTTGATAGAGAACAAACAAAATGCTAGGTAGGAGATCTTAAAAATTATCTTATAAAAACTGACAAGCTAGTAAGAAATTACCAGGCCAAACTTTAAGAGAAAGCTGAAATTCAGAGGTATAAGCAAAGCAATTTAAGTCAATTTTGCTTGAAGAATAAATTATGAAAGCGAGTTACATGTATGGAAAATAGAGACAGATATCTAAAGTTCTGCTTGAGTTTACTAGACTCTCTTTATTTCAGCATTGAACTTGGACTCTGAGTCATTACTTCATGTTGAAAAAGAGTAAGAAAGGTAAATCCATATTCCTCCTCACACTTCCAGAGAATTTCAGGGAGAGTTTACTTGACTCTGAGCAGAATAAGGGCAGAAAGACAGACAGAGGATTTTCCCTTAAGAAAATTTATTCGTTAGTTGATGTTATTTGGATTTGTAGACCTGGGATTCACATCACCGGGATTTAGGATTACTTTTTTAAATTGACATATAGTAATTGTACATATTTATGGGGCACATAGTAATGTTTCAATACACACATTGTATAGTGATCAGATCATGGTGATTAGCACCTTCATTGTCTTAAACATTTATCATTTATTTGTGATGAAAACATTCAGCATCTTATTTCTAACTATTTGAAACTTTAATATATTATTATTTACTGTTCCCACACTGGTGATGGGGCCTAAGTACCATTGAGAGAAACAAATATAAGTTGTCTATAAAAAGAAGGTACTTTAGCCTAGGTTTCAGGGACTCATCACATGGGTTTTATAGGCAATAACAAAGACATGCTAGTAGATAAACACACAAGGAAACAAGGTATTTTGAGTTAAAACCAGTAAAAAACAGCCTACAATAGAAATAGACCTGTGAAATCTTTAAATTTTGGAATGACTAGACTCACAAAATTACTTTCTTTACTCCATTTAAATAAATAAAGAACACAATAAATGTATCGGCAGGGTAAAAAAATCTATCCACTCGTGGAAGACAGTAGTCCTAAAAGAATGAAGTCGAGATTCTAGAAACGAATATATAATACATAAAAATGAAAACATAAATGGGTTTAGGATTGCATTAAACAGAAGTGAAAATAAAATAAATAGAATGAGAAGACAGTTTGGATATTTCTATAACTGCCAAAATAAGGAGAGGTTTACTCTATGTGTGGAATATTTTAGTTTATTTCACTCGTACAGAAATACGTGCTTTGTTTTTTTTTTTGTTTTTGTTTTTGTTTTTTTAACATTCCTTACTTTGCACATGATGAAGAGGTACAGAATAACTAGAGGTCCAATTCTTGTGTGATTGGACCTCCCAGCAGGATTAACACTCCCAGCAGGAGCACTCCTAAATCCTTTTTTTTTTTTTTTTTTAGAGAGCAGTTATTGTATTTTATCTGGGGAATTGCTTCCCTTCTCTATACACAGGGGAGAAGAGGCAAAACTGGCCTGCTATTCTGGATGCACTTTTTTGAAAAATTCTTTTTTTTTCATTTTATATTTCTTCCATATCTTGACTACAAACTGAGATTTTCTCTGAGACAACCTAGGGAAAAACTGCTCTGAATCTTGTCTTTTCTCTGTTTTGAGCTGTGATTCCCTCTACTCTGTTATCTCCAACAAAATGATTTCATCTGCATTCTAGCAATTCCGATGGAAGCCTGGTCACCCTGTGACATATTTTCTTACTTTTTAAGGACTACTATTAATATGTATATATGTGTGTGTGTATATATATGTGTGTGTGTGTATATATATATATGTGTGTGTGTATATATGTATACATATATACACACACACACACACACATACATATATATATATATTTGTATTTTAACCAAGTGTTAGAAAAGAAAGGAGAAAGTTGAGGATATTTAATCCACCACATTGATCCGGAGCGATCCTATTTTGAACCAGGCTTTGTTGAGAACTACTTTTTTCATTCTGCACATTAACACTATCTGGGGGAATTTATATATGTTTTTAAGAGGCTCAAACACAGATAAATTAAATCAAAACCTCTGGGATTGGGGACTGAGCATCCACATTTTATAAAAGCTCCCTAGGTGATTTTAATATATAGCTAAGTTTGACAGATTCTTCTGTACCTCTTCCTCTGATAAATTATAAAATTCTCAAGAGCAGGAACTTAACATTACTCATTTATCCAGCTGGTGTTTGTGTATAGACATGAAAAGGTATATTAAATTGAATTAATAGTGGTCAGAAAAGATCAGAGTGAGGAAACTGAGCATAATTGCTCATTTTTATTTTATTTTTTGTTTCTGAAATTTTTTTAAAAAATTGAAAAATTCCAGAAAATATATTCACCTTACTTTTCTGTATAAGTAAGCAAAATTAAAAACTTGTAGTACTTGGGATATGAACAAAGTAGTGCATTTTCATGGTTTGTTAATCGCACAAGTACATGCCTATGTACACAGCCTACAGTCATACCCTTGTGCCTTTCTCTACTTGTCTTTATAGTCGAACTAATTTAATATTTTTATTTGAGATGTGAATTGTTCAGTTATCAGGGTAGCAGTTTCCATGATCATGTAGTTCCCAGGATTATGTTTGATGAATTCCCAAGGATTTTTTTCCTCTTTTATTTTCTTCATATGCTAATAAATCGGTTTAGTTCATGTGGGTCAGTGTGGCACTTCTAATGCATAAACTGACTAACTAGCACAGAATCTAAACCTGGGAACTGTGAATCAGCAAGCTATAAATATATAGGGAGCTCCTAGAAAGGTGCTGATAAACTACAGAATGGAGTTTTTTCTGTAAGTTGCTGCTAGATCTAGAGGGTGACTCAATACCTAGGTTTAGAGCTTTATCTATTTTTTAATCTAAGAAAAGCAATCTGGGAAATGTAATGTTGAATAAAAATGCTAAATGCAAGATTATTCATGCGCTTTTATACTCCAATGTTGTGTGCCACTCTGAGGAGCTTTTTGATCATTGAGATCAGAGAATTTTCCTCTAATTATACTACCTTTGATCCAGAATCCTATTCAACTGGCCTGCATTCACATCTTCTCTTTGATGGGTAAGCCCTACAGATAGAACAACTCCCTGAAGTCTGTTGCTCAAAGAGAGATAGACTATCTCCTTAATTAATTTTTTTTCAGTATGGCTGTGGTAACAATTTATTATTATATAGAGCATATCATCTTTTCATGGTGCTGTTCAACAGCAAAAGTATGAATCGAGAAATTATATTCTTACCACTGAGCCCTTTTAAATTTGTTTTATTGTAGTAAAATACAAACAACATAAAATTTACCATCTTATTTTTAAGTGTACAGTTCAATGTGCTAACTATATTCATATTATTGTGCAACTACAATATCTCCAGAACTTCTTTGTCTGCAAAACCAAAACCTACTATTTCCCTTTGTCCTATGCCCCTGGCAACCACTATTCTATTTTCTGTTTCTGTGAATTTTGCTACTCTCGATATCTCTTAAAATTGGAATCAAACGGTATTTGTCCTTTGTGACTGCCTTATTTTATTTAACATAATGTCCTCAAGGTTCATTTGTGTTGTAGCATGTGAGAGAATTTCCATTTTTTTAAAGCTGAAGAACATTTCATAGAATGTATATATAACCTTTTTAAAAATAAATTTTATTTTGCATATTTAAGATACACGATATTATAAAATACTTATATATTACAAAATGGCTATCACATTTAGTTTATCCATTCATCCATCAATAAACACTGGGGTTTCTTCTACCTTTTGGGTATTGTGAATAATGCTGCTATAAATATGAGTTTGAGCTCCCTTTTATCAATGTATTTTAGCCTTTCTAAATCACAGCTCTTCTCTTTTACAGATAAGCAAATTGATTGAATTCTTTCACCTGGGGTGACTATAAAGATTCATGTGCTCCATTCAAAACTTGCCAAATCAGAAGGTTTTTGCACTTTATCCCAGCTTCAATGATGATTAACATATGTCAATCATCTTAGTTAGGTTCTGTTATTCATGTGGTGGGTACAGAAACAGAATCTGAGATTTTGATAGTCTAGATCTTAAGTCCTGAATCCTAACTCTCAGATCTCAATACTCCATTTCTTATATAGAATAATTTAACTAAATAGAGCAAAAGCCAAAATGGCTGAAAAGTAAAAGCAATCAAATATGGAATAAAACATTAACTGAACAATATTGACAATGAACTATTGAAAAGATATTACAAAATTACATCAGGATAAATGGGATATCTATAACCTCAAGCATTTATCCTTTGTGTTATAGACTATCCAGTTATACTCTTTTGGTTATCTTAAAATGTACAATTAAGTTATTTTTGACTATAGTTACCCTTTTGTGCTAGTGAATAATAGGTCTTTTTCATTCTTTCTAACTATTCTTTGAACTCATTAATCTTCCCCACCCTCCCACTACCCTTTCCAGCCTCAGGTAACCATTCTTCTACTCTCTGTCTTTAGAAGTTCAGTTGTTTTAATTTTTAGCTCTCACAAATAAGTGAGAACATGCAAAGTTTGTCTTTGGGAGGCTGAAGGAAGAGAATCTCTTTAACCCAGGAATTCAAGACAAGCCTAGGCAAGATGGTGAGATCCTGTCTCTACAAAAATAATGTTCTAAATTATCAGGGCATGGTGGCATATGCCTGTAGTCCCAGCTCTTCTACTCTGGAAGCTGAAGAGGGAGGATCACTTGAGCCTGGGAAGTTGTGGCTACAGTGAGCTATGGTTGTGCTACTGCACTGTAGCCTGACAACAGAGTAAGACCACAACCCTTAAAAAAAAAAAAAAAAAAAAAGAATTACTTCAAGCAAAAGAAAAGGATACTGGAAAATATTGTGGAGCATGAACGAAGGATTTGTGGATTACAAAAGGCAATGATTAAATGTTAGGAGAAGTGGCAAAGCTTTGCACAATTGATTTATGGCCAATTAAAGTGAAAACACAAGCAACTTCCATAGTAAGATATAAACAAATAAACATTGTTGATAGTACTCAGAGTATGATACTTCCTTACCTACTAAAAAAGCATTTAAAACTTCATACTGAATCAGCAAACAATAGAAGTTTTCCAAAATGCTGGAAACAGAATAAGGTGCCTATAGTAAATCATTATACAATATTTCTCTGAAGTTCCTACCATTCAATTACAAAAAATATCAAATATAAGTACTTGGAAGAAACATGTCATGTAATTATTGCTGAGAGCAAAATTTTCTACTTCAAGGCCAAAAAAAAATAGTTGATTTGCCATTAATACCAAGTAAAGTTTTAAAATGCATCTAATATTTGATAAAAATGTTAATGGCTTTCTTAATCAGAAATAAAATGGTAGGGAATGCAACGAAAAATAATCCAATTAACCTAAGGGTAAATCTAACAATAACTATAGAAAACCTCTATAAAGTAATGTAGAGTATCTCAATGAAGAGAAGTAAAAGTATTATTGAAGGGCACAAAAAATACATGACCTATACTAAAGACATCAATATATTTATTTTATATAAAATAATTTTTAATATTCAATACATGTATTTTTATTCCATTAAAATATTAGTAGAAATTAATCATTTAGCAAAGTGATAATAAGTACCACTAGGAAAAATAAATAAACAAGAATAAAGCAATACCATTTTAAAACTAATGAGTTTGTTAAGGAAATTATCCTAACAATACAAAACATATTAACAGGGGGGCGGCCAAAATGGCTGACTGGAAACAGCTAGTGTGCACTGCTCTCATAGAGAGGAATGGAAGAGGTGAGTAAATACACCACCTTCAACTGAAACATCCAGGTACTCTCATTGGGACTAATCAGGGAAACAACTGGATCCACGGAGAATGGAGAAAAGCATGCTAGGATGATGGTCCACCAGGAGCAACAGAGACAGGCAAATCTCCCCTGCCCAGGGAAGCCGTAAGTGAATGTGCAACCCCAGGAACCCACGCTTTTCCTACAGATCTTTGCAATCCTTGGATCAGGAGACCCCTCATGAACCCAAGCCACCAGGGCCTTCGGTCTGACACACAGAGCTACATGGAGTCTCAGGAGAGCAGCCATTTGGGTACACATGGAAATTCAGAAGGCTTAGATACACAGGCTTTCTGGGCTTTCGGGCAAAAGCACCTGCAACTCCAGCAAAGTGGGAGGTTAGACCCTTGTACGTACCCCTAGAAAAGGGGCTGAATCCAAGGGACTGAACAGCAATAGTCTGCAGGCCATGCTTCCACAGTACCTCACAGGATAAGACCCACTGGCTTGGAACTCCAGTCAGCCACTGAATAGCAGCATTACATCTCCCCGAGACAGCTCCCAGGGGGAAGGGTGGGCTGCCATCCTTGTTGTTTGGCTGACTTAGCCATTCCAGTCTTCAGATTTTGGAGAGTCTGAGGCAATCGAGGATTGAAGAAGACTCTCAGTACAGCACAGCTGCTCTATGAAAATGTGGACAGACTACTTTTTAAAGCAAGTCCCCAATCCCGTTCCTTTTCACCGGGGGGAAACTCCTAACCGGGGTCCCAGCTACCCCTGTGAGTGTTCTATAGCCAACAGAGGTTTCAAAACTCCCTAGGATAGAGCTCCTAGAGGGAGGGAGAGCCACCATTTTTGCTGTTTGGTGACAGCCCTTCCAGCCTTTGGGTTTTGGAGTTTCTGAGGTGACGGGGCTGAAATGAGCCCCCAACACAGCAGAGCTGCTCTATGGAAATGTGGTGAGACTGCTGTTTTAAGCAGGTCGTGATCCCAATCTTCTTCACTGGGTAGGACCTTCTGAATGGAGCCTCCAGCTACCCCTGTCAGTGTTTTCTGGCCAACAGAAATTTCAAACCTCCCTGGGACAGAGTCCCAGAGGGAGAAGTGAGCCACCATCTTTGTTGTTTGGGTGACTTAGGCATTGTGGCTTTGGGGCTTTAGAGAGTCCAAGGTGACCAGGAGTGGAGCAGACCCCCAGCACATCACAGTTGCTCTACGAAAACGTGGCCAAATGGCTTTTTAAGCAGGCCTCCAATCCCATTTCTCCTCGCTGGGTGGGACCTCCCAACCGAGGTCTCTAGCTACCTCCTACAGGTGCATTTGGGCCAGAAACAGGTCTGTATATCCCTGGGATGAAGCTCCCAGAAGGAGGGTCAGGCCACCATCTTTGCTGTTTCATAGTCTTCACCATTGATACCTCCAGGTACTGGAAAATTTGAGGTGGCTAAGGACTGTAATGGACCCCCAGCACACTGCAGCAGCCCTATGGAAAAGTGGCAAGACTGTTACTTAGGTGCCCATTCCCATATATCCTCACTGGGCAGATCCTCCAGGCCTGGGCCTCCAACACCCCTTGCTGGGGCTATTGAGCCAGTAGCAGCTCTGCACCCCCACAATATGGAATCCCCAGGGGCAACTGAAAGCCTCTCTGCCACTGCCTCTGCAGTAGAACTGCCATTGCTACACTCAGACTAATGAAGGAGCAAAGACTCTAAGTGTCTTATCCATACCTTCAGCAAGCTGCAGTTGACCAAAGGAGAAGAAGCCAGTCTATCTCCCATGGGAGACAGCCACCCTCCCTGCTCATCACCAGAGAGGGAACCCCTGGTTTGGGCCTACCGCATGGACCCCCCATCTGGGCTGATTGCACTGAGCAATGCTGACCTGCATCTCTCTGGGGTGCAGCCCCCAGGAGACAAGTAAAAGACCCTTGGGCACAACCACTACTAAAGTCCCTTCCTCTGCTGCCTCCAAGTTGGGGAAGGAACAAAATCCCTGAGATTGCCTCAGCACTTCAGTGGGTAGCTCCTGAGTGCCAAGCTGTGGTCTACTTCCAGCACTGAAGGCAGAGAGGAGCCCACACTTTCAGAGGATTGAGAGGGAACACAGCTGCAACAGTGAGGAAACATGGGAGCCACAAAACCAAGCAAGAGCCCTGCAACTGACCAATATGCCTAAGTGCCACCTACTGGATCACATCCCAAAGCTTCAACACAAAAAAATACATTGCTAATATACCACCTTGTGAAACCAAAGACAATATTCAGCTTCAAATAAAGACCCTGCACAAACCCTTGGCTCTGTGAAAATATACAGAAGCCTATTGACTGTACTCAATCTATACTGCAGTTAAAGGAATACTCACACACAGAGATGGGAAAGGATCGACACAGGAACTCCAGTAACTCAAACAGCCAGAGTGTCTTATGTCCTTTAGATGACCACACCAATTCTCCAATAAGAATTATTAACTAGACTGACCTGGCTGAAAGAACAAAAATATAAATCAGAATATGGATAGGAATGAAGATCACTGAGATTCAAGAGAAGGGTAAAACTCAATCTAATGAAACGAAGTCACAATAAGATGATACAGGAGCTTAAGCACAAAATACTTGGCATAAAAAAGAATCTAATGGACCTGACAGAATTGAAAAACACAATACAAGAATTTCACTATGGAATCTGAAGTATTAACACCAAAATAGACCAAGCTGAGGAAAAAAATATCAGAACTTTAAGACTGGCTTTCTGAAATAAGACATTCAGACAAAAATAAAAGAGAATGAAAATGAATGAACAAGACCTCCAAGAAGTATGGGATTATGTAAAGAGGTCAAATCTATGCATCATTGGCACCCCTGAAAGGGAGAAGGAGAAAGCAAATAATTGGAAAACATATTTCAGGATATTGCCCATGAAAATTTTGCAACCTTACTAGAGAGGCCAAAAGTCAAATTCAGGAAATACAGAGAACCCCTGCAAGATTCTATACAAGAATATCATTGCCAAGACATATACTCATCAGATTTTCCAGGGTTGAAACATAAGAATTTTAAAGGCAGCTACAGAGAAAGGGCAGGTTAACTACAAAGGGAACTCCTTCAGGATAACAGTGGACATCTCAGCTGAAACTCTACAAGCCAGAAGATATTGGGAAACTATATTCAACATTTTTTTAAGAAAAAAATCTTCGAACAAGAATTTTATAGCTAGCCAAACTAAGTTTCCTAAGTGAAGGAGAAATGAGATCCTTTTCAGATAAGCAAATGATGAGGGACTTTGTTACCACCAGTCCTGCCATACAAGAGGTCTTGAAAGGAACACTAAATATAGAAAGCAAAGACCACTACCAGTTAATTAAAAAAACACATTTAAATACACAGACCCATGGCACTATAAAGCAACCACACAAACAAGCCAGTATAACACCCCGCTAACAACACAATGACAGGATCAAATCCACACATATCAATAGTAGCCTTGAATGGAAGTGGGCTAAATGCCCCACTCAAAAGGCACAGAGTGGGAAGCTGGAGAGAGAAGCAAGACCCAATGTTATGCTGTTTTCAAGAGACCCATCTCACATGTAATGACACCCATAGGCTCAAAATAAAAGGATGGAGAAAAATCTACCAAGCAAATGAAAAACAGAAAAAAAGCAGGGGTTGCAATTTTAATTTCAGATAAAACAGACTTTAAGCCAACAAAGGAAAAAGAAGGGCATTACATAATGATAAAGGATGCAATTCAACAAGAAGAGCTAACTGTTCTAAATATATATGCACCCAACACAGGAGCACCCAGATTCATAAAGCAAGTTCTTAGAGACCTACGAAGAGATGTAGACTCTAACACAATAATACTGGGAGACTTCAACACTCCACTGACAGTATTAGACAGATCATTGAGGCAGAAAACTAACAAATATATTCAGGACCTGAACTCAACATTGAAGCAAACGGGTCTGATAGACCTCTGTGGAACTCTCCACCCCAAAACAACAAAATGTACATTCTTCTTATCACCGCATAACACATACTTCAAAATCAACCATATAATTGGACATAAAATAATCCTCAGTAAATGCAAAAGGACCAAAATCATATCAAACACACTTTGAAACCACAGCACAATAAAAATAGGAGTCAAGACTAAGACAATTGCTTAAAAACCTGCAATCACATTGAAATTAAACAACATGCTCCTGAATGCCTTTTGGGGAAATAATGAAATGAAGGCAGAAATAAAGAAGTTCTTTGAAACTAATGAGAACAAAGATACAACATATCGGAATCCCTGTGACATATCTAAGGCAGTGTTAAAAGGAAAATTCATAGCACTAAATGCCCAAATCAAAATGTTAGAAAGATCTCAAATTAAAAACCTATCATCGCAACTGAAAGAATTATAGACGCAAGAACAAATCAACCCCAAAGCTAGCAGAAAACAAGAAATAACCAAAATAAGAGCTCAACTGAAGGAAAATGAAGACACAAAAACCATTCAAAATATAAACAAAGCCAGGAGTTGGCTTTTTGAAAAAATTAGTAAGATAGGTCACTAATGAGACTAATAAAAAAGAAAGGAGAGAAGATCCAAATAAAGACAATTATAAATGACAAAGAGGATATTACCACTGGCCCCACAGATAGAAAAATAACCATCAGAAACTACTATGAACACCTCTATGCACATAAACTAGAAAACCTAGAAAAGATGAATACATGCCTGGACACATACACTCTCCCAAGACTGAACCAGGAAGAAATTGATTCCCTGAGCAGACAAATAACAAGCTTTGAAACAAAATCAGTAATAAATAGCCTACCAACCAAAAACAAAAAAACAAAAAACAAAAACAAAAAGAAAAAAAAAAGCCTAGGACCTGATGAATTCACAGTTGAATTTTACCAGACATAAAAAGAAGAGCTGGTACCATTCCTACTGAAACTATTCCAAAAGATTGAGAAGGAGGGAATTCCTCCTCTACTTATTCTATGAGGCCAGTATTATTCTGATACCCAAACCTGGCAGAGACACAACAAAAAGAGAAAACTTTAGGCCAATAGTCTCAATGAATATTGATGCAAAAATCCTCAACAAAACACTTGCAAACTAAATTTAGCTGCATATGAAAAAACTAATCCACCACAATCAAGTAGGTTTTATCCTTGGGATGCAAGGTTGTTTCATCATACAGAAATCAATAAATTTGATTCATCATGTAAACAAAACTAAAGACAAAAGCCACATGATTATTTCAATAGATGCAGAAAGGACTTTTGATAAAATTCAACCTTCCTTCATGTTAAAAACTCTCAGTAAACTAAGCATTGAAGAAACATATCTCAATAATAAAAGCCATCTATGACAAACCCACAGCTAACATCATACTGAATGGGCAAAAGCTAGAAGTGTTCTCCTTGAAAACTGGCACAAAACAAGGATGCCCTCTCTCACCACTCCTATTCAATGTAGTATTGGAAGTCGTAGCCAGAGCATTCAGGCAAGAGAAACAAAGGGCATCCAAATAGGAAGAGAGGAAGTCAAACTACTTCTGTTTGCAGATAACATGATTCTATATCTAGAAAACCCCATAGTCTCAACTCCAGAGCTCCTTCCACTGATGAACAACTTTAGCAAAGTTTCAGAAGACAAAATCAATGTCCCCAAATCACTAGCATTCCTTTAAACTAAAAAACAGCCAAGCCAAGAGCCAAGTCAGGAAGGCAGTCCCATTCACAACTGCCACAAGAAGAATAAACTACCTAGGAATACAACTCACCAGGGAGAATGTGAAAGATCTATACAAGAAGAATTATAAAGCACTGCTCAAGGAAAACAGAGGACACAAACAAATGAAAAAACATCCTATGCTCATGGATAGGAAGAATCAATATTGAAATAGCCACACTGCCCAAAGCAATTTATAGCTTCAGCGCTATTCCTATAAAACTACCAATGATATTCTTCACAGAACTAGAGAAAACTATTTTAAAACTCATGTGGAACTGAAAAAGAGCACAAATAGCCAAGGCAATCTTATGTATGAATAAAAAGAACAAAACTGGAGGTATCACATAACCTGATGTCCAACTATACTAGAGGGCTACAGTAATCAAAACAGCATGATACTGGTACAAAAACAAACACATAGACCAATGGAACAGAATAGAGAGCCCAGAAATAAGTCCACACACCTGACCATCTGATCTTTGACAAAGCTGACAAAAACAAGCAATGAGGGAAGTTCTCTCTATTCAATAAACGGTGCTGGGATAACTGGCTATATGCTATATGCACATGATTGAAGTGTACCCTTCCTTACAGCATATACAAAAATCAATTCAAGATAGATTAAAGACTTAAATATAAACCCCAAAACTATAAAAACCTTGGAAGACAACCTAGGCAATACCATCCTGGACAGCAGAATGGGCAAAGATTTCATGACAAAGACACCAAAAGCAATTGCAACAAAAGCAAACTTGACAGATGGGATCTAATTAAAGTTAAGAGCTTCTGCACAGCAAAAGAAACTATCAACAGAGTAAACAGACAACCTACAGAATGGGAGAAAATATTTGCAAATTATACATTAGACAAATGTCTAATATCCAATGTCTAATATCCAATGTCTATAAAGAAATTAAATTCTCAAGAGAAAAACAATCCCATTAACAATCCCATTAAAAAGTGGGCAAAGTACATGTACAGACACTTCTCAAAAGGAGACATACATGTGGCCAATAAGCATATGAAAAAAAGCTCAACATCCCTGATCATTAGAGAAATTAAATCGAAACTACAATGAGATATTATCTCATGCCAGTCAGAATGGCTATTATTAAAAATCAAAAAAATATTTTATTACAAAATTTCACATGTACCCTCAAATCTAAAGTAAAAGTTAAAAAATAAAATATAATATTAAAACATATTAACATTTCACAGGAATCAAAAGAACATTTAACTGATACAGAATTGACAAAAAGATAAATGGCAATGGTGTATACTTGTCTAAAATTCTTCAATATCCTTTGAATACAAACAGAATCATTAAAATAAAATTCAGTGAGGTTGAATCTATGGTGTTCAAAGACATGTAAATTTCAGATGATCCAGCTTCTGACTATAGATCTCTGGAAAAACTGGGTAAGTAAATGTGGACTCTGGCAAAGAATTTGCCATAGGGAGAAAGAAGTAGGCTTCAGACTTCTCTGAGACAGTGGTTCTCAACTTTGACAGGACAATAAAATCGCCTAGTGAAATTTTAAGAAAAAGCAATACAGAGCTCTATCTCTGATCAACTGAATAAGAATCCCTCTCTCACAGCAGATAAATTACTAGATGGCAATAATTACAATATGATACCTTCTCTAGTTTATTATTATTTTTTTTTTGAGATGGAGTCTTGCTCTGTTACCCAGGCTGGAGTGCGATGACGCAATCTTGGCTCCTGTAACCTGCAACCTCCGCCTCACAGTTTCAACTGATTCTCCAGCCTCAGCCTCCTGAGTAGCTTGAGATTACAGGCACCCGCCAACATGCCTGGCTATTTTTTGTATTTTTGTAGAGACGGGGTTTCACTATGTTGGCCAGGCTGGTCTCCAGCTCCTGACCTCAGGTGATCTGCTTACCTCGGCCTCTCAAAGTGCTGGGATTACAGGCGTGAGCCACCACGCCAGGCCTCCTCTAGTATATTTTGAGCAACTTGTAGTTAAGCCACCACAAAGTAGATAATGCAAGTGTTTATTGGTGAATAAATAATTGAGTAGATGAAGATACTTATATAGACAGACATTCTGACAGGTCAATTGTGTGTGTGTGTGTGTGTGTGTGTGTGTGTGTGTGTGTGTGTGGTGTTTGGCCCACCTAGAACATTTCCTCTGTCAAAATGTTTGGAATAATTACACAGTAAACCTGGTGCATTTGTTTCCAAAACATATACATTTAACTTCAGCAATTTTATCTCCCTGCCAGACTATTCCTATCAAAATGGATAAAATACTTTAGATCTTAAATGGATAGGCTCAAAGTGTCATGTTGGTGATTTGAGAACTATAAATTTATATATAAATATAAATTATTATTATTGTAATTGATAGATACAGTATTAGGTTGAATCTCTATTTGCTAATATTAGACAATTTTTGACCCACAAAAATGGAAGCTTTATGTGGATTAAATTTACCCAATTCTGAAAATAACATGGCAGTGAATATTTATCTCCCAGATCTTCAAAGTTTTCTTAACAACACAATTAAAATTAGAAGTTGATTATAAGACAGACAGCACTGAAACAGATTTGTTGGTATAGGGCCATGTAATTTTACAGAAAGCAACAGCTAAAGTGCATTATCTAAAATAGTAATGATATGTATCGAAGGTGTCCTACAAATGACCAATCTAGGAGGGTATTATATTTAAAAACTAAGAAAAAAAAGAAGAAAAGAAGGAAGGAAAGAAAACAGTGGAAAAGAAAGAAATAAGAAATTGAAGGAAAGGAAGAAAAGTAAGAGAAGGAGAAATGGAATACAGGATAAATAAAACGGAGGGAATTTGGGGTCAATCAATTGAAACATTGTACATAAGATAATTTTCTGTGACAGTCAAACACTGCACAGGGGTATTTTAAAGATCTACAAAAATTTTCAGGAAAGAGCTGTTAAATTTGGCATTTCCCAAACTGTTTAATCTAACATTTGACCCAGTAATTAATTTTACATGTAATTATTTAATAACTATTCTAACAAAAATTATTATGTTTATAAAAAGG